>NC_000010.11:40722855-40927908 GCF_000001405.40 Homo sapiens | reverse complement strand
AAATCATTATCAGCAAAGTGAAACCCAGTTTTGTGTAAAAATCCAAAATTATCCGGGCGTGGTGGCACAGCAGTGTAATCCCAGCTACTCGGGAGGGCGAGGAAGGAGAATTGCTTGAACCCGGGAAGCGGAGGTTGCGGTGAGCCAAAATCGTGCTATTGCACTCCAGCCTAGGCACCAAGAGTGAAACTCTGTCTCAAAAACAAAAAAACAAAAAACAAAACAAATCTGTCTAGCAGTAAATGAAAAAATCCCGCTTCCAACGAAGTCCTCAAAGGGTTCCAAGTAATCACTTGCAGACTTTACAGATAGAGTCTTTCCAAACTGCTCTATGAAAAGAAAGGTGGAACTCTGTGAGCTGAACGCACACATAACAAAGCAGTTTCTGAGAATGATTCTGTGTAGTTTTTACACGAAGATATTTCCATTTCAAAGATTAGCCTCAAATCGCTTGAAATCTCCACTTGCAAATTCCACAGAAAGAGTTTTTCAAAACTGCTCTGTGTAAAGGAAGGTTCAACTCTGTGACTTGAATACACGCAACACAAAGAAGTGACTGAGAATTCTTCTGTCTAGCATTATATGAAGAAATCCCGTTTCCAACGAAGGCCTCAAAGAAGTCCAAATAAGCACCTGCAGACTTTACAAACAGAGTGTTTCCAAACTGCTCTATGAAAAGAAAGGTTAAACTCTGTGAGTTGAACGCACACATCACAAAGTAGTTGTTGAGAATGATTCTGTGTAGTTTTTATACGAAGATATTTCCTTTTCTGCCATAGGCCTAGAAGCGCTTGTAATCTGCACTTGCAAATTCCAAAAACAGAGTGTTTCAAATCTGCTCTCTCTAAAGGAAGGTTCAAATCTGTGAGTTGAATACAAACAACACAAAGAAGTTACTGAGAATTCTTCTGTCTAGCGTTATATGAAGAAATCCCGTTTCCAACGAAGGCCTCAAAGAGGTCCAAATATCCACTTGCAGACTTTACAAATAGAGTGTTTCCAAACTGCTCTATGAAAAGAAAGGTTAAACTCTGTGAGTTGAAGGCACACATCACAAACTAGTTTCTACGAATGACTCTGTGTACTTTTAATATGAAGATATGTCCATGTCTAAGATTGGCGTCAAATCGCTTGAAATCTCCACTTGGAAATTCAACAAAAAGTGTTTTTCAAAACTGCTCTGAATAAAGGAAGGTTCCACTCTGTGAGTTGAATACACACAACACAAAGGATTTACTGAGAATTCTTCTGTCTAGCAGTAAATGAGAAATCCCGCTTCCAACGAAGGCCTCAAAGGGGTCTAACTAATCACTTGCAGACTTTACAGACAGAGTCTTTCCAAACTGCTCTATGAAGAGAAAGGTGAAACTCTGTGAACTGAACGCACAGATGACAAAGCAGTTTCTGAGAATGATTCTGTGTAGTTTTTACACGAAGATATTTCCATTTCAAAGATTAGCCTCAAATCGCTTGAAATCTCCACTTGCAAATTCCACAGAAAGAATTTTTCAAAACTGCTCTGTCTAAAGGAAGGTTCAACTCTGTTACTTGAATACACACAACACAAAGAAGTGACTGAGAATTCTTCTGTCTAGCATTATATGAAGAAATCCCGTTTCCAACGAAGGCCTCAATGAAGTCCAAAAAAGCACTTGCAGGCTTTACAAACAGAGTGTTTCCAAACTGCTCTATGAAAAGAAAGGTTAAACTCTGTGAGTTGAACGCACACATCACAAAGTAGTTGTTGAGAATGATTCTGTGTAGTTTTTATACGAAGATATTTCCTTTTCTGCCATAGGCCTAGAAGCGCTTGTAATCTGCACTTGCAAATTCCAAAAACAGAGTGTTTCAAATCTGCTCTCTCTAAAGGAAGGTTCAAATCTGTGAGTTGAATACAAACAACACAAAGAAGTTACTGAGAATTCTTCTGTCTAGCGTTATATGAAGAAATCCCGTTTCCAACGAAGGCCTCAAAGAGGTCCAAATATCCACTTGCAGACTTTACAAATAGAGTGTTTCCAAACTGCTCTATGAAAAGAAAGGTTAAACTCCGTGAGTTGAAGGCACACATCTCAAACTAGTTTCTGCGAATGACTCTGTGTACTTTTAATACGAAGATGTTTCCATGTCTAAGATTGGCGTGAATTCGCTTGAAATCTCCACTTGCAAATTCCACAAAAAGAGTGTTTCAAAACTGCTCTGAATAAAGGAAGGTTCCTCTCTGTGAGTTGAATACACACAACACAAAGGATTTACTGAGAATTCTTCTGTCTAGCAGTAAATGAAAAAATCCCGCTTCCAACGAAGTCCTCAAAGGGGTCCAAGTAATCACTTGCAGACTTTACAGACAGAGTCTTTCCAAACTGCTCTATGAAAAGAAAGGTGGAACTCTGTGAGCTGAACGCACACATAACAAAGCAGTTTCTGAGAATGATTCTGTGTAGTTTTTACACGAAGATATTTCCATTTCAAAGATTAGCCTCAAATCGCTTGAAATCTCCACTTGCAAATTCCACAGAAAGAGTTTTTCAAAACTGCTCTGTGTAAAGGAAGGTTCAACTCTGTTACTTGAATACACACAACACAAAGAAGTGACTGAGAATTCTTCTGTCTAGCATTATATGAAGAAATCCCGTTTCCAACGAAGGCCTCAAAGAAGTCCAAATAAGCACCTGCAGACTTTACAAACAGAGTGTTTCCAAACTGCTCTATGAAAAGAAAGGTTAAACTCTGTGAGTTGAACGCACACATCACAAAGTAGTTGTCGAGAATGATTCTGTGTAGTTTTTATACGAAGATATTTCCTTTTCTGCCATAGGCCTAGAAGCGCTTGAAATCTGCACTTGCAAATTCCAAAAACAGAGTGTTTCAACTCTGCTCTCTCTAAAGAAAGGTTCAACTCTGTGAGTTGAATACACACAACACAAAGAAGTTACTGAGAATTCTTCTGTCTAGCGTTGTATGAAGAAATCCCGTTTCCAACGAAGGCCTCAAAGAGGTCCAAATATCCACTTGCAGACTTTACAAATAGAGTGTTTCCAAACTGCTCTATGAAAAGAAAGGTTAAACTCTGTGAGTTGAAGGCACACATCACAAACTAGTTTTTACGAATGACTCTGTGTACTTTTAATACGAAGATGTTTCCATGTCTAAGCATTGGCGTGAATTCGCTTGAAATCTCCACTTGCAAATTCCACAAAAAGAGTGTTTCAAAACTGCTCTGAATACAGGAAGGTTCCACTCTGTGAGTTGAATACACACAACACAAAGGATTTACTGAGAATTCTTCTGTCTAGCAGTAAATGAGAAATCCCACTTCCAACGAAGGCCTCAAAGGGGTCTAACTAATCACTTGCCGACTTTACAGACAGAGTCTTTCCAAACTGCTCTATGAAGAGAAAGGTGAAACTCTGTGAACTGAACGCACAGATGACAAAGCAGTTTCTGAGAATGATTCTGTGTAGTTTTTACACGAAGATATTTCCATTTCAAAGATTAGCCTCAAATCGCTTGAAATCTCCACTTGCAAACTCCACAGAAAGAATTTTTCAAAACTGCTCTGTCTAAAGGAAGGTTCAACTCTGTGACTTGAATACACACAATACAAAGAAGTGACTGAGAATTCTTCTGTCTAGCATTATATGAAGAAATCCCGTTTCCAACGAAGGCCTCAATGAAGTCCAAAAAAGCACTTGCAGGCTTTACAAACAGAGTGTTTCCAAACTGCTCTATGAAAAGAAAGGTTAAACTCTGTGAGTTGAACGCACACATCACAAAGTAGTTGTTGAGAATGATTCTGTGTAGTTTTTATACGAAGATATTTCCTTTTCTGCCATAGGCCTAGAAGCGCTTGAAATCTGCACTTGCAAATTCCAAAAACAGAGTGTTTCAACTCTGCTCTCTCTAAAGAAAGGTTCAACTCTGTGAGTTGAATACACACAACACAAAGAAGTTACTGAGAATTCTTCTGTCTAGCGTTATATGAAGAAATCCCATTTCCAACGAAGGCCTCAAAGAGGTCCAAATATCCACTTGCAGACTTTACAAATAGAGTGTTTCCAAACTGCTCTATGAAAAGAAAGGTTAAACTCCGTGAGTTGAAGGCACACATCACAAACTAGTTTCTGCGAATGACTCTGTGTACTTTTAATACGAAGCATGTTTCCATGTCTAAGATTGGCGTGAATTCGCTTGAAATCTCCACTTGCAAATTCCACAAAAAGAGTGTTTCAAAACTGCTCTAAATAAAGGAAGGTTCCACTCTGTGAGTTGAATACACACAACACAAAGGATTTACTGAGAATTCTTCTGTCTAGCAGTAAATGAAAAAATCCCGCTTCCAAAGAAGTCCTCAAAGGGGTCCAAGTAATCACTTGCAGACTTTACAGACAGAGTCTTTCCAAACTGCTCTATGAAAAGAAAGGTGGAACTCTGTGAGCTGAATGCACACATAACAAAGCAGATTCTGAGAATGATTCTGTGTAGTTTTTACACGAAGATATTTCCATTTCAAAGATTAGCCTCAAATCGCTTGAAATCTCCACTTGCAAATTCCACAGAAAGAGTTTTTCAAAACTGCTCTGTGTAAAGGAAGGTTCAACTCTGTGACTTGAATACACACAACACAAAGAAGTGACTGAGAATTCTTCTGTCTAGCATTATATGAAGAAATCCCGTTTCCAACGAAGGCCTCAAAGAAGTCCAAATAAGCACCTGCAGACTTTACAAACAGAGTGTTTCCAAACTGCTCTATGAAAAGAAAGGTTAAACTCTGTGAGTTGAACGCACACATCACAAAGTAGTTGTTGAGAATGATTCTGTGTAGTTTTTATACGAAGATATTTCCTTTTCTGCCATAGGCCTAGAAGCGCTTGCAATCTGCACTTGCAAATTCCAAAAACAGAGTGTTTCAAATCTGCTCTCTCCAAAGGAAGGTTCAAATCTGTGAGTTGAATACAAACAACACAAAGAAGTTACTGAGAATTCTTCTGTCTAGCATTATAAGAGGAAATCCCGTTTCCAACGAAGGGCTCATAGAGGGACAATTATCCAGCTGCAGACTTACAAAGAGTGTATTTCCAAACTGCTCGATTAAAGAAAGGTTAAACTCTGTGAGTTAAACACACACATCACAAAGTGTTTTCTGAGAATGATTTTGTCTAGTTTTAATACGAAGATATATCCTTTTCTATCACTGTCTTCGAAGCGTTTGAAATCTGCACTAGCAAATTCCACAAACAGAGTGTTTCAACTCTGCTCTCTCTCAAGAAAGGTTCAACTCTGTGAGTGGAATACACACAACACAAAGAAGTTACTGAGAATTCTTCTGTCTAGCGTTATATGAAGAAATCCCGTTTCCAACGAAGGCCTCAAAGAGGTCCAAATATCCACTTGCAGACTTTACAAATAGAGTGTTTCCAAACTGCTCTATGAAAAGAAAGGTTAAACTCCGTGAGTTGAAGGCACACATCTCAAACTAGTTTCTGCGAATGACTCTGTGTACTTTTAATACGAAGATGTTTCCATGTCTAAGATTGGCGTGAATTCGCTTGAAATCTCCACTTGCAAATTCCACAAAAAGTGTGTTTCAAAACTGCTCTGAATAAAGGAAGGTTCCACTCTGTGAGTTGAATACACACAACACAAAGGATTTACTGAGAATTCTTCTGTCTAGCAGTAAATGAAAAAATCCCGCTTCCAACGAAGTCCTCAAAGGTGTCCAAGTAATCACTTGCAGACTTTACAGACAGAGTCTTTCCAAACTGCTCTATGAAAAGAAAGGTGGAACTCTGTGAGCTGAACGCACACATAACAAAGCAGTTTCTGAGAATGATTCTGTGTAGTTTTTACACGAAGATATTTCCATTTCAAAGATTAGCCTCAAATCGCTTGAAATCTCCACTTGCAAATTCCACAGAAAGAGTTTTTCAAAACTGCTCTGTGTAAAGGAAGGTTCAGCTCTGTGACTTGAATACACACAACACAAAGAAGTGACTGAGAATTCTTCTGTCTAGCATTATATGAAGAAATCCCGTTTCCAACGAAGGCCTCAAAGAAGTCCAAATAAGCACCTGCAGACTTTACAAACAGAGTGTTTCCAAACTGCTCTATGAAAAGAAAGGTTAAACTCTGTGAGCTGAACGCACACATCACAAAGTAGTTGTTGAGAATGATTTTGTCTAGTTTTAATACGAAGATATATCCTTTTCTATCACTGTCTTCGAAGCGTTTGAAATCTGCACTAGCAAATTCCACAGAAAGAGTGTTTCAACTCTGCTCTCTCTCAAGAAAGGTTCAACTCTGTGAGTGGAATACACACAACACAAAGAAGTTACTGAGAATTCTTCTGTCTAGCGTTATATGAAGAAATCCCGTTTCCAACGAAGGCCTCAAAGAGGTCCAAATATCCACTTGCAGACTTTACAAAGAGAGTGTTTCCAAACTGCTCTATGAAAAGAAAGGTTAAACTCCGTGAGTTGAAGGCACACATCACAAACTAGTTTCTGCGAATGACTCTGTGTACTTTCAATACGAAGATGTTTCCATGTCTAAGATTGGTGTGAATTCGCTTGAAATCTCCACTTGCAATTTCCACAAAAAGAGTGTTTCAAAACTGCTCTGAATAAAGGAAGGTTCCACTCTGTGAGTTGAATACACACAACACAAAGGATTTACTGAGAATTCTTCTGTCTAGCAGTAAATGAAAAAATCCCGCTTCCAACGAAGTCCTCAAAGGGGTCCAAGTAATCACTTGCAGACTTTACAGACAGAGTCTTTCCAAACTGCTCTATGAAAAGAAAGGTGGAACTCTGTGAGCTGAACGCACACATAACAAAGCAGTTTCTGACAATGATTCTGTGTAGTTTTTACACGAAGATGTTTCCATTTCAAAGATTAGCCTCAAATCGCTTGAAATCTCCACTTGCAAATTCCACAGGAAGAGTTTTTCAAAACTGCTCTGTGTAAAGGAAGGTTCAACTCTGTGACTTGAATACACACAACACAAAGAAGTGACTGAGAATTCTTCTGTCTAGCATTATATGAAGAAATCCCGTTTCCAACGAAGGCCTCAATGAAGTCCAAAAAAGCACTTGCAGGCTTTACAAACAGAGTGTTTCCAAACTGCTCTATGAAAAGAAAGGTTAAACTCTGTGAGTTGAACGCACACATCACAAAATAGTTGTTGAGAATGATTCTGTGTAGTTTTTATACGAAGATATTTCCTTTTCTGCCATAGGCCTAGAATCGCTTGAAATCTGCACTTGCAAATTCCAAAAACAGAGTGTTTCAACTCTGCTCTCTCTAAAGAAAGGTTCAACTCTGTGAGTTGAATACACACAACACAAAGAAGTTACTGAGAATTCTTCTGTCTAGCGTTGTATGAAGAAATCCCGTTTCCAACGAAGGCCTCAATGAAGTCCAAAAAAGCACTTGCAGGCTTTACAGAGTGTTTCCAAACTGCTCTATGAAAAGAAAGGTTAAACTCTGTGAGTTGAACGCACACATCACAAACTAGTTGTTGAGAATGATTCTGTGTACTTTTAATATGAAGATATTTCCATGTCTAAGATTGGCGTCAAATCGCTTGAAATCTCCACTTGCAAATTCCACAAAAAGTGTTTTTCAAAACTGCTCTGAATAAAGGAAGGTTCCACTCTGTGAGTTGAATACACACAACACAAAGGATTTACTGAGAATTCTTCTGTCTAGCAGTAAATGAGAAATCCCGCTTCCAACGAAGGCCTCAAAGGGGTCTAACTAATCACTTGCAGACTTTACAGACAGAGTCTTTCCAAACTGCTCTATGAAGAGAAAGGTGAAACTCTGTGAACTGAACGCACAGATGACAAAGCAGTTTCTGAGAATGATTCTGTGTAGTTTTTACACGAAGATATTTCCATTTCAAAGATTAGCCTCAAATCGCTTGAAATCTCCACTTGCAAATTACACAGAAAGAATTTTTCAAAACTGCTCTGTCTAAAGGAAGGTTCAACTCTGTGACTTGAATACACACAACACAAAGAAGTGACTGAGAATTCTTCTGTCTAGCATTATATGAAGAAATCCCGTTTCCAACGAAGGCCTCAATGAAGTCCAAAAAAGCACTTGCAGGCTTTACAAACAGAGTGTTTCCAAACTGCTCTATGAAAAGAAAGGTTAAACTCTGTGAGTTGAACGCACACATCACAAAGTAGTTGTTGAGAATGATTCTGTGTAGTTTTTATACGAAGATATTTCCTTTTCTGCCATAGGCCTAGAAGCGCTTGTAATCTGCACTTGCAAATTCCAAAAACAGAGTGTTTCAAATCTGCTCTCTCTAAAGGAAGGTTCAAATCTGTGAGTTGAATACAAACAACACAAAGAAGTTACTGAGAATTCTTCTGTCTAGCGTTATATGAAGAAATCCCGTTTTCAAAGAAGGACTCAAAGAGGTCCAAATATCCACTTGCAGACTTTACAAATAGAGTGTTTCCAAACTGCACTATGAAAAGGAAGGTTAAACTCTGTGAGTTGAAGGCACACATCACAAACTAGTTTCTAGGAATGACTCTGTGTACTTTTAATATGAAGATATTTCCACGTCTAAGATTGGCGTCAAATCGCTTGAAATCTCCACTTGCAAATTCCACAAAAAGTGTTTTTCAAAACTTCTCTGAATAAAGGAAGGTTCAACTCTGTGAGTTGAATACACACAACACAAAGGATTTACTGAGAATTCTTCTGTCTAGCAGTAAATGAGAAATCCCGCTTCCAACGAAGGCCTCAAAGGGGTCTAACTAATCACTTGCAGACTTTACAGACAGAGTCTTTCCAAACTGCTCTATGAAGAGAAAAGTGAAACTCTGTGAACTGAACGCACAGATAACAAAGCAGTTTCTGAGAATGATTCTGTGTAGTTTTTACACGAAGCTATTTCCATTTCAAAGATTAGCCTCAAATCGCTTGAAATCTCCACTTGCAAATTCCACAGAAAGAGTTTTTCAAAACTGCTCTGTGTAAAGGAAGGTTCAACTCTGTGACTTGAATACACACAACACAAAGAAGTGACTGAGAATTCTTCTGTCTAGCATTATATGAAGAAATCCCGTTTCCAACGGAGGCCTCAAAGAAGTCCAAATAAGCACCTGCAGACATTACAAACAGAGTGTTTCCAAACTGCTCTATGAAAAGAAAGGTTAAACTCTGTGAGTTGAACGCACACATCACAAAGTAGTTGTTGAGAATGATTCTGTGTAGTTTTTATACGAAGATATTTCCTTTTCTGCCATAGGCCTAGAAGCGCTTGTAATCTGCACTTGCAAATTCCAAAAACAGAGTGTTTCAAATCTGCTCTCTCTAAAGGAAGGTTCAAATCTGTGAGTTGAATACAAACAACACAAAGAAGTTACTGTGAATTCTTCTGTCTAGCATTATATGAAGAAATCCCGTTTCCAACGAAGGCCTCAAAGAGGTCCAAATATCCACTTGCAGACTTTACAAATAGAGTGTTTCCAAACTGCTCTATGAAAAGAAAGGTTAAACTCCGTGAGTTGAAGGCACACATCACAAACTAGTTTCTGCGAATGACTCTGTGTACTTTTAATACGAAGATGTTTCCATGTCTAAGATTGGCGTGAATTCGCTTGAAATCTCCACTTGCAAATTCCACAAAAAGAGTGTTTCAAAACTGCTCTGAATAAAGGAAGGTTCCACTCTGTGAGTTGAATACACACAACACAAAGGATTTACTGAGAATTCTTCTGTCTAGCAGTAAATGAGAAATCCCGCTTCCAACGAAGGCCTCAAAGGGGTCTAACTAGTCACTTGCAGACTTTACAGACAGAGTCTTTCCAAACTGCTCTATGAAGAGAAAGGTGAAACTCTGTGAACTGAACGCACAGATGACAAAGCAGTTTCTGAGAATGATTCTGTGTAGTTTTTACACGAAGATATTTCCATTTCAAAGATTAGCCTCAAATCGCTTGAAATCTCCACTTGCAAATTCCACAGAAAGAGTTTTTCAAAACCGCTCTGTCTAAAGGAAGTTTCAACTCTGTGACTTGAATACCACAACACAAAGAAGTGACTGAGATTTCTTCTGTCTAGCATTATATGAAGAAATCCCGTTTCCAACGAAGGCCTCAAAGAAGTCCAAATAAGCACCTGCAGACTTTAAAAACAGAGTGTTTCCAAACTGCTCTATGAAAAGAAAGGTTAAACTCTGTGAGTTGAACGCACACATCACAAAGTAGTTGTTGAGAATGATTTTGTCTAGTTTTAATACGAAGATATATCCTTTTCTATCACTGTCTTCGAAGCGTTTGAAATCGGCACTAGCAAATTCCACAAACAGAGTGTTTCAACTCTGCTCTCTCTCAAGAAAGGTTCAACTCTGTGAGTGGAATACACACAACACAAAGAAGTTACTGAGAATTCTTCTGTCTAGCGTTATATGAAGAAATCCCGTTTCCAACGAAGGCCTCAAAGACGTCCAAATATCCACTTGCAGACTTTACAAATAGAGTGTTTCCAAACTGCTCTATGAAAAGAAAGGTTAAACTCTGTGAGTTGAAGGCACACATCACAAACTAGTTTCTGCGAATGACTCTGTGTACTTTTAATACGAAGATGTTTCCATGTCTAAGATTGGCCTGAATTCGCTTGAAATCTCCACTTGCAAATTCCACAAAAAGAGTGTTTCAAAACTGCTCTGAATAAAGGAAGGTTCCACTCTGTGAGTTGAATACACACAACACAAAGGATTTACTGAGAATTCTTCTGTCTAGCAGTAAATGAAAAAATCCCGCTTCCAACGAAGTCCTCAAAGGGGTCCAAGTAATCACTTGCAGACTTTACAGACAGAGTCTTTCCAAACTGCTCTCTGAAAAAAAAGGTGGAACTCTGTGAGCTGAACGCACACATAACAAAGCAGTTTCTGAGAATGATTCTGTGTAGTTTTTACACGAAGATATTTCCATTTCAAAGATTAGCCTCAAATCGTTTGAAATCTCCACTTGCAAATTCCACAGAAAGAGTTTTTCAAAACTGCTCGGTCTAAAGGAAGTTTCAACTCTGTGACTTGAATACCTCAACACAAAGAAGTGACTGAGAATTCTTCTGTCTAGTAGTATGTGAAGAAATCCCGTTTCCAACGAAGGCCTCAAAGAAGTCCAAATAAGCACCTGCAGACTTTACAAACAGAGTGTTTCCAAACTGCTCTATGAAAAGAAAGGTTAAACTCTGTGAGTTCAACGCACACATCACAAAGTAGTTGTTGAGAAGGATTTTGTCTAGTTTTAATACGAAGATATATCCTTTTCTATCACTGTCTTCGAAGCGTTTGAAATCTGCACTAGCAAATTCCACAAAAAGAGTGTTTCAACTCTGCTCTCTCTAAAGAAAAGTTGAAATCTGTGAGTTGAATACATACAACACAAAGAAGTTACTGAAAATTCTTCTGTCTAGCGTTATATGAAGAATCCCTTTTCCAACGATGGCCTCAAAGAGGTCCAAATATCCACTTGCAGACTTTACAAATAGAGTGTTTCCAAACTGCTCTATGAAAAGAAAGGTTAAACTCTGTGAGTTGAAGGCACACCTCACAAACTAGTTTTTACGAATGACTCTGTGTACTTTTAATATGAAGATATTTCCATGTCTAAGATTGGCGTCAAATCGCTTGAAATCTCCACTTGCAAATTCCACAAAAAGTGTTTTTCAAAAGTGCTCTGAATAAAGGAAGGTTCCACTCTGTGAGTTGAATACACACAACACAAAGGATTTACTGAGAATTCTTCTGTCTAGCAGTAAATGAGAAATCCCGCTTCCAACGAAGGCCTCAAAGGGGTCTAACTAATCACTTGCAGACTTAACAGGCAGAGTCTTTCCAAACTGCTCTATGAAGAGAAAGGTGAAACTCTGTGAACCGAACGCACAGATGACAAAGCAGTTTCTGAGAATGATTCTGTGCAGTTTTTACACGAAGATATTTCCATTTCAAAGATTAGCCTCAAATCGCTTGAAATCTCCACTTGCAAATTCCACAGAAAGAGTTTTTCAAAACTGATCTGTCTAAAGGAAGTTTCAACTCTGTGACTTGAATACCACAACACAAAGAAGTGACTGAGAATTCTTCTGTCAAGCATTATATGAAGAACTCCCGTTTCCAAAGAAGGCCTCAAAGAAGTCCAAATAAGCACTTGCAGACTTTACAAACAAAGTGTTTCCAAACTGCTCTATGAAAAGAAAGGTTAAACTCTGTGAGTTGAACGCACACATCACAAAGTAGTTGTTGAGAATGATTCTGTGTAGTTTTTATACGAAGATATTTCCTTTTCTGCCATAGGCCTAGAAGCGCTTGTAATCTGCACTTGCAAATTCCAAAAACAGAGTGTTTCAAATCTGCTCTCTCTAAAGGAAGGTTCAAATCTGTGAGTTGAATACAAACAACACAAAGAAGTTACTGAGAATTCTTCTGTCTAGCATTATAAGAGGAAATCCCGTTTCCAACGAAGGGCTCATAGAGGGACAATTATCCAGCTGCAGACTTACAAAGAGTGTATTTCCAAACTGCTCGATTAAAGAAAGGTTAAACTCTGTGAGTTGAACACACACATCACAAAGTGTTTTCTGAGAATGATTTTGTCTAGTTTTAATACGAAGATATATCCTTTTCTATCACTGTCTTCGAAGCGTTTGAAATCTGCACTAGCAAATTCCACAAACAGAGTGTTTCAACTCTGCTCTCTCTCAAGGAAGCTTCAACTCTGTGAGTGGAATACACACAACACAAAGAAGTTACTGAGAATTCTTCTGTCTAGCGTTATATGAAGAAATCCCGTTTCCAACGAAGGCCTCAAAGAGGTCCAAATATCCACTTGCAGACTTTACAAATAGAGTGTTTCCAAACTGCTCTATGAAAAGAAAGGTTAAACTCCGTGAGTTGAAGGCACACATCACAAACTAGTTTCTGCGAATGACTCTGTGTACTTTTAATACGAAGATGTTTCCATGTTTAAGATTGGCGTGAATTCGCTTGAAATCTCCACTTGCAAATTCCACAAAAAGAGTGTTTCAAAACTGCTCTGAATAAAGGAAGGTTCCACTCTGTGAGTTGAATACACACAACACAAAGGATTTACTGAGAATTCTTCTGTCTAGCAGTAAATGAAAAAATCCCGCTTCCAACGAAGTCCTCAAAGGGGTCCAAGTAATCACTTGCAGACTTTACAGACAGAGTCTTTCCAAACTGCTCTATGAAAAGAAAGGTGGAACTCTGTGAGCTGAACGCACACATAACAAAGCAGTTTCTGAGAATGATTCTGTGTAGTTTTTACACGAAGATATTTCCATTTCAAAGATTAGCCTCAAATTGCTTGAAATCTCCACTTGCAAATTCCACAGACAGAATTTTTCAAGACTGCTCTGTCTAAAGGACGGTTCAACTCTGTGACTTGAATACACACAACACAAAGAAGTGACTGAGAATTCTTCTCTCTAGCATTATAAGAGGAAATCCCGTTTCCAACGAAGGGCTCATAGAGGGACAATTATCCAGCTGCAGACTTACAAAGAGTGTATTTCCAAACTGCTCGATTAAAGAAAGGTTAAACTCTGTGAGTTGAACACACACATCACAAGGTGTTTTCTGAGAATGATTTTGTCTAGTTTTAATACGAAGATATATCCTTTTCTATCACTGTCTTCGAAGCGTTTGAAATCTGCACTAGCAAATTCCACAAACAGAGTGTTTCAACTCTGCTCTCTCTCAAGAAAGGTTCAACTCTGTGAGTGGAATACACACAACACAAAGAAGTTACTGAGAATTCTTCTGTCTAGCGTTATATGAAGAAATCCCATTTCCAACGAAGGCCTCAAAGAGGTCCAAATATCCACTTGCAGACTTTACAAATAGAGTGTTTCCAAACTGCTCTATGAAAAGAAAGGTTAAACTCCGTGAGTTGAAGGCACACATCACAAACTAGTTTCTGCGAATGACTCTGTGTACTTTTAATACGAAGATGTTTCCATGTCTAAGATTGGCGTGAATTCGCTTGAAATCTCCACTTGCAAATTCCACAAAAAGAGTGTTTCAAAACTGCTCTGAATAAAGGAAGGTTCCACTCTGTGAGTTGAATACACACAACACAAAGGATTTACTGAGAATTCTTCTGTCTAGCAGTAAATGAAAAAATCCCGCTTCCAACGAAGTCCTCAAAGGGGTCCAAGTAATCACTTGCAGACTTTACAGACAGAGTCTTTCCAAACTGCTCTATGAAAAGAAAGGTGGAACTCTGTGAGCTGAACGCACACATAACAAAGCAGTTTCTGAGAATGATTCTGTGTAGTTTTTACACGAAGATATTTCCATTTCAAAGATTAGCCTCAAATCGCTTGAAATCTCCACTTGCAAATTCCACAGAAAGAGTTTTTCAAAACTGCTCTGTGTAAAGGAAGGTTCAACTCTGTGACTTGAATACACACAACACAAAGAAGTGACTGAGAATTCTTCTGTCTAGCATTATATGAAGAAATCCCGTTTCCAACGAAGGCCTCAAAGAAGTCCAAATAAGCACCTGCAGACTTTACAAACAGAGTGTTTCCAAACTGCTCTATGAAAAGAAAGGTTAAACTGCTGTGAGTTGAACGCACACATCACAAAGTAGTTGTTGAGAATGATTTCTGTGTAGTTTTTATACGAAGATATTTCCTTTTCTGCCATAGGCCTAGAAGCGCTTGCAATCTGCACTTGCAAATTCCAAAAACAGAGTGTTTCAAATCTGCTCTCTCCAAAGGAAGGTTCAAATCTGTGAGTTGTATACAAACAACACAAAGAAGTTACTGAGAATTCTTCTGTCTAGCATTATATGAGGAAATCCCGTTTCCAACGAAGGGCTCATAGAGGGACAATTATCCAGCTGCAGACTTACAAAGAGTGTATTTCCAAACTGCTCGATTAAAGAAAGGTTAAACTCTGTGAGTTGAACACACACATCACAAAGTGTTTTCTGAGAATCATTTTGTCTAGTTTTAATACGAAGATATATCCTTTTCTATCACTGTCTTCGAAGCGTTTGAAATCTGCACTAGCAAATTCCACAAACAGAGTGTTTCAACTCTGCTCTCTCTCAAGAAAGGTTCAACTCTGTGAGTGGAATACACACAACACAAAGAAGTTACTGAGAATTCTTCTGTCTGGCGTTGTATGAAGAAATCCCGTTTCCAACGAAGGCCTCAAAGAGGTCCAAATATCCACTTGCAGACTTTACAAATAGAGTGTTTCCAAACTGCTCTATGAAAAGAAAGGTTAAACTCTGTGAGTTGAAGGCACACATCACAAACTAGTTTCTACGAATGACTCTGTGTACTTTTAATATGAAGATATTTCCATGTCTAAGATTGGCGTCAAATCGCTTGAAATCTCCACTTGCAAATTCCACAAAAAGTGTTTTTCAAAAGTGCTCTGAATAAAGGAAGGTTCCACTCTGTGAGTTGAATACACGCAACACAAAGGATTTACTGAGAATTCTTCTGTCTAGCAGTAAATGAGAAATCCCGCTTCCAACGAAGGCCTCAAAGGGGTCTAACTAATCACTTGCAGACTTTACAGACAGAGTCTTTCCAAACTGCTCTATGAAGAGAAAGGTGAAACTCTGTGAACTGAACGCACAGATGACAAAGCAGTTTCTGAGAATGATTCTGTGTAGTTTTTACACGAAGATATTTCCATTTCAAAGATTAGCCTCAAATCGCTTGAAATCTCCACTTGCAAATTACACAGAAAGAATTTTTCAAAACTGCTCTGTCTAAAGGAAGGTTCAACTCTGTGACTTGAATACACACAACACAAAGAAGTGACTGAGAATTCTTCTGTCTAGCATTATATGAAGAAATCCCGTTTCCAACGAAGGCCTCAATGAAGTCCAAAAAAGCACTTGCAGGCTTTACAAACAGAGTGTTTCCAAACTGCTCTATGAAAAGAAAGGTTAAACTCTGTGAGTTGAACGCACACATCACAAAGTAGTTGTTGAGAATGATTCTGTGTAGTTTTTATACGAAGATATTTCCTTTTCTGCCATAGGCCTAGAATCGCTTGAAATCTGCAGTTGCAAATTCCAAAAACAGAGTGTTTCAACTCTGCTCTCTCTAAAGAAAGGTTCAACTCTGTGAGTTGAATACACACAACACAAAGAAGTTACTGAGAATTCTTCTGTCTAGCGTTATATGAAGAAATCCCGTTTCCAACGAAGGCCTCAAAGAGGTCCAAATATCCACTTGCAGACTTTACAAATAGAGTGTTTCCAAACTGCTCTATGAAAAGAAAGGTTAAACTCTGTGAGTTGAAGGCACACATCACAAACAAGTTTCTGCGAATGACTCTGTGTACTTTTAATACGAAGATGTTTCCATGTCTAAGATTGGCGTGAATTCGCTTGAAATCTCCACTTGCAATTTCCACAAAAAGAGTGTTTCAAAACTGCTCTGAATAAAGGAAGGTTCCACTCTGTGAGTTGAATACACACAACACAAAGGATTTACTGAGAATTCTTCTGTCTAGCAGTAAATGAAAAAATCCCGCTTCCAACGAAGTCCTCAAAGGGGTCCAAGTAATCACTTGCAGACTTTACAGACAGAGTCTTTCCAAACTGCTCTATGAAAAGAAAGGTGGAACTCTGTGAGCTGAACGCACACATAACAAAGCAGTTTCTGACAATGATTCTGTGTAGTTTTTACACGAAGATATTTCCATTTCAAAGATTAGCCTCAAATCGCTTGAAATCTCCACTTGCAAATTCCACAGAAAGAATTTTTCAAAACTGCTCTGTCTAAAGGAAGGTTCAACTCTGTGACTTGAATACACACAACACAAAGAAGTGACTGAGAATTCTTCTGTCTAGCATTATAAGAGGAAATCCCGTTTCCAACGAAGGGCTCATAGAGGGACAATTATCCAGCTGCAGACTTACAAAGAGTGTATTTCCAAACTGCTCGATTAAAGAAAGGTTAAACTCTGTGAGTTGAACACACACATCACAAAGTGTTTTCTGAGAATGATTTTGTCTAGTTTTAATACGAAGATATATCCTTTTCTATCACTGTCTTCGAAGCGTTTGAAATCTGCACTAGCAAATTCCACAGAAAGAGTGTTTCAACTCTGCTCTCTCTCAAGAAAGGTTCAACTCTGTGAGTGGAATACACACAACACAAAGAAGTTACAGAGAATTCTTCTGTCTAGCGTTATATGAAGAAATCCCGTTTCCAACGAAGGCCTCAAAGAGGTCCAAATATCCACTTGCAGACTTTACAAATAGAGTGTTTCCAAACTGCTCTATGAAAAGAAAGCTTAAACTCTGTGAGTTGAAGGCACACATCACAAACTAGTTTCTGCGAACGACTCTGTGTACTTTTAATACGAAGATGTTTCCATGTCTAAGATTGGCGTGAATTCGCTTGAAATCTGCACTTGCAAATTCCACAAAAAGAGTGTTTCAAAACTGCTCTGAATAAAGGAAGGTTCCACTCTGTGAGTTGAATACACACAACACAAAGGATTTACTGAGAATTCTTCTGTCTAGCAGTAAATGAAAAAATCCCGCTTCCAACGAAGTCCTCAAAGGGGTCCAAGTAATCACTTGCAGACTTTACAGACAGAGTCTTTCCAAACTGCTCTATGAAAAGAAAGGTGGAACTCTGTGAGCTGAACGCACACATAACAAAGCAGTTTCTGAGAATGATTCTGTGTAGTTTTTGCACGAAGCTATTTCCATTTCAAAGATTAGCCTCAAATCGCTTGAAATCTCCACTTGCAAATTCCACAGAAAGAGTTTCTCAAAACTGCTCTGTGTAAAGGAAGGTTCAACTCTGTGACTTGAATACACACAACACAAAGAAGTGACTGAGAATTCTTCTGTCTAGCATTATATGAAGAAATCCCGTTTCCAACGAAGGCCTCAAAGAAGTCCAAATAAGCACCTGCAGACTTTACAAACAGAGTGTTTCCAAACTGCTCTATGAAAACAAAGGTTAAACTCTGTGAGTTGAACGCACACATCACAAAGTAGTTGTTGAGAATGATTCTGTGTAGTTTTTATACGAAGATATTTCCTTTTCTGCCATAGGCCTAGAAGCGCTTGTAATCTGCACTTGCAAATTCCAAAAACAGAGTGTTTCAAATCTGCTCTCTCTAAAGGAAGGTTCAAATCTGTGAGTTGAATACAAACAACACAAAGAAGTTACTGAGAATTCTTCTGTCTAGCGTTATATGAAGAAATCCCGTTTCCAACGAAGGCCTCAAAGTGGTCCAAATATCCACTTGCAGACTTTACAAATAGAGTGTTTCCAAACTGCTCTATGAAAAGAAAGCTTAAACTCTGTGAGTTGAAGGCACACATCACAAACTAGTTTCTGCGAATGACTCTGTGTACTTTTAATACGAAGATGTTTCCATGTCTAAGATTGGCGTGAATTCGCTTGAAATCTCCACTTGCAAATTCCACAAAAAGAGTGTTTCAAAACTGCTCTGAATAAAGGAAGGTTCCACTCTGTGAGTTGAATACACACAACACGAAGGATTTACTGAGAATTCTTCTGTCTAGCAGTAAATGAAAAAATCCCGCTTCCAACGAAGTCCTCAAAGGGGTCCAAGTAATCACTTGCAGACTTTACAGACAGAGTCTTTCTAAACTGCTCTATGAAAAGAAAGGTGGAACTCTGCGAGCTGAACGCACACATAACAAAGCAGTTTCTGAGAATGATTCTGTGTAGTTTTTACACGAAGATATTTCCATTTCAAAGATTAGCCTCAAATCGCTTGAAATCTCCACTTGCAAATTCCACAGAAAGAGTTTTTCAAAACTGCTCTGTGTAAAGGAAGGTTCAACTCTGTGACTTGAATACACACAACACAAAGAAGTGACTGAGAATTCTTCTGTCTAGCATTACATGAAGAAATCCCGTTTCCAACGAAGGCCTCAAAGAAGTCCAAATAAGCACCTGCAGACTTTACAAACAGAGTGTTTCCAAACTGCTCTATGAAAAGAAAGGTTAAACTCTGTGAGTTGAACGCACACATCACAAAGTAGTTGTTGAGAATGATTCTGTGTAGTTTTTATACGAAGATATTTCCTTTTCTGCCATAGGCCTAGAAGCGCTTGAAATCTGCACTTGCAAATTCCAAAAACAGAGTGTTTCAAATCTGCTCTCTCTAAAGGAAGGTTCAAATCTGTGAGTTGAATACAAACAACACAAAGAAGTTACTGAGTATTCTTCTGTCTAGCATTATATGAGGAAATCCCGTTTCCAACGAAGGGCTCAAAGAGGGCCAATTATCCACCTGCAGACTTACAAAGAGTGTATTTCCAAACTGCTCGATTAAAGAAAGGTTAAACTCTGTGAGTTGAACACACACATCACAAAGTGTTTTCTGAGAATGATTCTGTGTAGTTTTTATACGAAGATATTTAATTTTCTGCCATAGGCCTAGAAGCGCTTGCAATCTGCACTTGCAAATTCCAAAAACAGAGTGTTTCAAATCTGCTCTCTCCAAAGGAAGGTTCAAATCTGTGAGTTGAATACAAACAACACAAAGAAGTTACTGAGAATTCTTCTGTCTAGCATTATAAGAGGAAATCCCGTTTCCAACGAAGGGCTCATAGAGGGACAATTATCCAGCTGCAGACTTACAAAGAGTGTATTTCCAAACTGCTCGATTAAAGAAAGGTTAAACTCTGTGAGTTGAACACACACATCACAAAGTGTTTTCTGAGAATGATTTTGTCTAGTTTTAATACGAAGATATATCCTTTTCTATCACTGTCTTCGAAGCGTTTGAAATCTGCACTAGCAAATTCCACAAACAGAGTGTTTCAACTCTGCTCTCTCTCAAGAAAGGTTCAACTCTGTGAGTGGAATACACACAACACAAAGAAGTTACTGAGAATTCTTCTGTCTAGCGTTATATGAAGAAATCCCGTTTCCAACGAAGGCCTCAAAGAGGTCCAAATATCCACTTGCAGACTTTACAAATAGAGTGTTTCCAAACTGCTCTATGAAAAGAAAGCTTAAACTCTGTGAGTTGAAGGCACACATCACAAACTAGTTTCTGCGAATGACTCTGTGTACTTTTAATACGAAGATGTTTCCATGTCTAAGATTGGCGTGAATTCGCTTGAAATCTCCACTTGCAAATTCCACAAAAAGAGTGTTTCAAAACTGCTCTGAATAAAGGAAGGTTCCACTCTGTGAGTTGAATACACACAACACAAAGGATTTACTGAGAATTCTTCTGTCTAGCAGTAAGTGAAAAAATCAAGCTTCCAACGAATGCCTCCAAGGAATCCAAGTATTCACTTGCAGACTTTACAGACAGAGTCTTTCCAAACTGCTCAATGAAAAGAAAGGTGAAACTCTGTGAGTTGAACGCACACATAACAAAGCAGTTTCTGAGAATGATTCTGTGTAGTTTGTACACGAAGATATTTCCATTTCAAAGATTGGCCTCAAATCGCATGAAATCACCACTTGCAAATTCCACACAAAGAGTTTTTCAAAACTGCTCGGTCTAAAGGAAGTTTCAACTCTGTGACTTGAATACACACAACACAAAGAAGTGACTGAGAATTCTTCTGTCTAGCATTGTATGAAGAAATCCCGTTTCCAACGAAGGCCTCAAAGAAGTCCAAATAAGCACCTGCAGACTTTACAAACAGAGTGTTTCCAAACTGCTCTATGAAAAGAAAGGTTAAACTCTGTGAGTTGAACGCGTACATCACAAACCAGTTTCTGCGAATGACTCTGTGTAGTTTTAATACGAAGATATTTCCATGTCTAAGATTGGCGTCAAATCGCTTGAAATTTCCAGTTGCAAATTCCAAAAAAAGAGTGTTTCAAATCTGTTCTATCTAAAGGAAGGTTCAAATCATTGAGTTGAATTGAAACAACACAAAGAAGTTACTGAGAATTCTTCTGTCTAGGAGTAAATGAGAAATCCCGCTTCCAACGAAGGCCTCAAAGGGGTCTAACTAATCACTTGCAGACTTTACAGACAGAGTCTTTCCAAACTGCTCTATGAAGAGAAAGGTGAAACTCTGTGAACTGAACGCACAGATGACAAAGCAGTTTCTGAGAATGATTCTGTGTAGTTTTTACACGAAGATATTTCCATTTCAAAGATTAGCCTCAAATCGCTTGAAATCTCCACTTGCAAATTACACAGAAAGAATTTTTCAAAACTGCTCTGTCTAAAGGAAGGTTCAACTCTGTGACTTGAATACACACAACACAAAGAAGTGACTGAGAATTCTTCTGTCTAGCATTATATGAGGAAATCCCGTTTCCAACGAAGGGCTCATAGAGGGACAATTATCCAGCTGCAGACTTACAAAGAGTGTATTTCCAAACTGCTCGATTAAAGAAAGGTTAAACTCTGTGAGTTGAACACACACATCACAAAGTGTTTTCTGAGAATGATTTTGTCTAGTTTTAATACGAAGATATATCCTTTTCTATCACTGTCTTCGAAGCGTTTGAAATCTGCACTAGCAAATTCCACAAACAGAGTGTTTCAACTCTGCTCTCTCTCAAGAAAGGTTCAACTCTGTGAGTGGAATACACACAACACAAAGAAGTTACTGAGAATTCTTCTGTCTAGCGTTATACGAAGAAATCCCTTTTCCAACGAAGGCCTCAAAGAGGTCCAAATATCCACTTGCAGACTTTACAAATAGAGTGTTTCCGAACTGCTCTATGAAAAGAAAGGTTAAACTCTGTGAGTTGAAGGCACACATCACAAACTAGTTTCTACGAATGATTCTGTGTACTTTTAATATGAAGATATTTCCATGTCTAAGATTGGCGTCAAATCGCTTGAAATCTCCACTTGCAAATTCCACAAAAAGAGTGTTTCAAAACTGCTCTGAATAAAGGAAGGTTCCACTCTGTGAGTTGAATACACACAACACAAAGGATTTACTGAGAATTCTTCTGTCTAGCATTATATGAAGAAATCCCGTTTCCAACGAAGGCCTCAATGAAGTCCAAAAAAGCACTTGCAGGCTTTACAAACAGAGTGTTTCCAAACTTCTCTATGAAAAGAAAGGTTAAACTTTGTGAGTTGAACGCACACATCACAAAGTAGTTGTTGAGAATGATTCTGTGTAGTTTTTATACGAAGATATTTCCTTTTCTGCCATAGGCCTAGAATCGCTTGAAATCTGCACTTGCAAATTCCAAAAACAGAGTGTTTCAACTCTGCTCTCTCTAAAGAAAGTTTCAACTCTGTGAGTTGAATACACACAACACAAAGAAGTTACTGAGAATACTTCCGTCTAGCGTTATATGAAGAAATCCCGTTTCCAACGAAGGCCTCAAAGAGGTCCAAATATCCACTTGCAGACTTTACAAATAGAGTGTTTCCAAACTGCTCTATGAAAAGAAAGGTTAAACTCCGTGAGTTGAAGGCACACATCACAAACTAGTTTCTGCGAATGACTCTGTGTACTTTTAATACGAAGATGTTTCCATGTCTAAGATTGGCGTGAATTCGCTTGAAATCTCCACTTGCAAATTCCACAAAAAGAGTGTTTCAAAAGTGCTCTGAATAAAGGAGGGTTCCACTCTGTGAGTTGAATACACACAACACAAAGGATTTACTGAGAATTCTTCTGTCTAGCAGTAAATGAAAAAATCCCGCTTCCAACGAAGTCCTCAAAGGGGTCCAAGTAATCACTTGCAGACTTTACAGACAGAGTCTTTCCAAACTGCTCTATGAAAAGAAAGGTGGAACTCTGCGAGCTGAACGCACACATAACAAAGCAGTTTCTGAGAATGATTCTGTGTAGTTTTCATACGACGATATTCCCTTTTCTGCCATAGGCCTAGAAGCGCTTGAAATCTGCACTTGCAAATTGCAAAAAAAGAGTGTTTGAAATCTGCTCTCTCTAAAGGAAGGTTCAAATCTGTGAGTTGAATACAAACAACACAAAGAAGTTCCTGAGAATTCTTCTGTCTAGCACTATATGAGGAAATCCCGTTTCCAACGAAGGGCTCAAAGAGGGCCAATTATCCACTTGCAGACTTTACAAAGAGTGTATTTCCAAACTGCTCGATTAAAGAAAGGTTAAATTCTGTGAGTTGAACACACACATCACAAAGTGTTTTCTGAGAATGATTTTGTCTCGTTTTAATACGAAGATATATCCTTTTCTACCATTGTCCTCGAAGCGTTTGAAATCTGCACTAGCAAATTCCACAGAACGTGTTTCCAATCTGCTCTCTCTAAAGAAATGTTCAACTCTGTGAGTTGAATACACACAACACAAAGAAATTACTGAGAATTCTTCTGTCTAGCGTTATATGAAGAAATCCCGTTTCCAATGAAGGCCTCAAAGAGGTCGAAATATCCACTTGCAGACTTTACAAATAGAGTGTTTCCAAACTGCTCTATGAAAAGAAAGTTAAAGTCTGTGAATTGCAGGCACACATCACAATCTAGTTTCTGCGAATGACTCTGTGTACTTTAAATAAGAAGATATTTCCATGTCTAAGATTGGCGTGAAATCGCTTGAAATCTCCACTTGCAAATTCCACAAAAAGAGTGTTTCAAAACTGCTCTGAATAAAGGGAGGTTCAACTCTGTGAGTTGAATACACACAACACAAAGGATTTACTGAGAATTCTTCTGTATAGCAGTAAATTAAAAAATCCCGCTTCCAACGAAGTCATCAAAGGGGTCCAAGTAATCACTTGCATACTTTACAGACAGAGTCTTTCCAAACTGCTGTATGAAAAGAAAGGTGAAACTCTGTGAGTTGAACGCACACATAACAAAGCAGTTTGTGAGAATGATTCTGTGTAGTTTTTACACGAAGATATTTCCATTTCAAAGATTAGCCTCAAATCGCTTGAAATCTCCACTTGCAAACTCCACAGAAAGAATTTTTCAAAACTGCTCTGTCTAAAGGAAGGTTCAGCTCTGTGACTTGAATACACACAACACAAAGAAGTGACTGAGAATTCTTCTGTCTAGCATTATATGAAGAAATCCCGTTTCCAACGAAGGCCTCAATGAAGTCCAAAAAAGCACTTGCAGGCTTTACAAACAGAGTGTTTCCAAACTGCTCTATGAAAAGAAAGGTTAAACTTTGTGAGTTGAACGCACACATCACAAAGTAGTTGTTGAGAATGATTCTGTGCAGTTTTTATACGAAGATATTTCCTTTTCTGCCATAGGCCTAGAAACGCTTGATATCTGCACTTGCAAATTCCAAAAACAGAGTGTTTCAACTCTGCTCTCTCTAAAGAAAGGTTCAACTCTGTGAGTTGAATACACACAACACAAAGAAGTTACTGAGAATTCTTCTGTCTGCCGTTGTATGAAGAAATCCCGTCTCCAACGAAGGCCTCAAAGAGGTCCAAATATCCACTTGCAGACTTTACAAATAGAGTGTTTCCAAACTGCTCTATGAAAAGAAAGGTTAAACTCTGTGAGTTGAAGGCACACATCACAAACTAGTTTCTACGAATGACTCTGTGTACTTTTAATATGAAGATATTTCCATGTCTAAGATTGGCGTCAAATCGCTTGAAATCTCCACTTGCAAATTCCACAAAAAGTGTTTTTCAAAACTGCTCTGAATAAAGGAAGGTTCCACTCTGTGAGTTGAATACACACAACACAAAGGATTTACTGAGAATTCTTCTGTCTAGCAGTAAATGAAAAAATCCCGCTTCCAACGAAGTCCTCAAAGGGGTCCAAGTAATCACTTGCAGACTTCACAGAGTCTTTCCAAACTGCCCTATGAAAAGAAAGGTGGAACTGTGTGAGCTGAACGCACACATAACAAAGCAGTTTCTGAGAATGATTCTGTGTAGTTTTTACACGAAGATATTTCCATTTCAAAGATTAGCCTCAAATCGCTTGAAATCTCCACTTGCAAATTCCACAGAAAGAGTTTTTCAAAACTGCTCTGTGTAAAGGAAGGTTCAACTCTGTGACCTGAATACACACAACACAAAGACGTGACTGAGAATTCTTCTGTCTAGCATTATATGAAGAAATCCCGTTTCCAACGAAGGCCTCAAAGAAGTCCAAATAAGCACCTGCAGACTTTACAAACAGAGTGTTTCCAAACTGCTCTATGAAAAGAAAGGTTAAACTCTGTGAGTTGAACGCACACATCACAAAGTAGTTGTTGAGAATGATTCTGTGTAGTTTTTACACGAAGATATTTCCTTTTCTGCCATAGGCCTAGAAGTGCTTGAAATCGGCACTTACAAATTCCAAAAACAGAGTGTTTCAAATCTGCTCTCTCTAAAGGAAATTTCAAATCTGTGAGTTGAATACAAACAACACAAACAAGTTACTGAGAATTCTTCTGTCTAGTGTTATATGAAGAAATCCCGTTTCCAATGAAGGCCTCAAAGAGGTCGAAATATCCACTTGCAGACTTTACAAATAGAGTGTTTCCAAACTGCTCTATGAAAAGAAAGTTAAACTCTGTGAATTGAAGGCACACATCACAATCTAGTTTCTGCGAATGACTCTGTGTACTTTAAATACGAAGATATTTCCATGTCTAAGATTGGCGTGAAATCGCTTGAAATCTCCACTTGCAAATTCCACAAAAAGAGTGTTTCAAAACTGCTCTGAATAAAGGAAGGTTCAACTCTGTGAGTTGAATACACACAACACAAAGGATTTACCGAGAATTCTTTCTGTCTAGCAGTAAATGAAAAAATCCCGCTTCCAACGAAGTCCTCAAAGGGGTCCAAGTAATCACTTGCAGACTTTACAGACAGAGTCTTTCCAAACTGCTCTATGAAAAGAAAGGTGGAACTCTGTGAGCTGAACGCACACATAACAAAGCAGTTTCTGAGAATGATTCTGTGTAGTTTTTACACGAAGATATTTCCATTTCAAAGATTAGCCTCAAATCGCTTGAAATCTCCACTTGCAAATTCCACAGAAAGAGTTTTTCAAAACTGCTCTGTGTAAAGGAAGGTTCAACTCTGTGACTTGAATACACACAACACAAAGAAGTGACTGAGAATTCTTCTGTCTAGCATTATATGAAGAAATCCCGTATCCAACGAAGGCCTCAAAGAAGTCCAAATAAGCACCTGCAGACTTTACAAACAGAGTGTTTCCAAACTGCTCTATGAAAAGAAAGGTTAAACTCTGTGAGTTGAACGCACACATCACAAACTAGTTTCTGCGAATGACTCTGTGTACTTTTAATACGAAGATGTTTCCATGTCTAAGATTGGCGTGAATTCGCTTGAAATCTCCACTTGCAAATTCCACAAAAAGAGTGTTTCAAAACTGCTCTGAATAAAGGAAGGTTCCACTCTGTGAGTTGAATACACACAACACAAAGGATTTACTGAGAATTCTTCTGTCTAGCAGTAAATGAAAAAATCCCGCTTCCAACGAAGTCCTCAAAGGGGTCCAAGTAATCACTTGCAGACTTTACAGACAGAGTCTTTCCAAACTGCTCTATGAAAAGAAAGGTGGAACTCTGTGAGCTGAACGCACACATAACAAAGCAGTTTCTGAGAAAGATTCTGTGTAGTTTTTACACGAAGATATTTCCATTTCAAAGATTAGCCTCAAATCGCTTGAAATCTCCACTTGCAAATTCCACAGAAAGAGTTTTTCAAAACTGCTCTGTGTAAAGGAAGGTTCAACTCTGTGACTTGAATACACACAACACAAAGAAGTGACTGAGAATTCTTCTGTCTAGCATTATATGAAGAAATCCCGTTTCCAACGAAGGCCTCAAAGAAGTCCAAATAAGCACCTGCAGACTTTACAAACAGAGTGTTTCCAAACTGCTCTATGAAAAGAAAGGTTAAACTCTGTGAGTTGAACGCACACATCACAAAGTAGTTGTTGAGAATGATTCTGTGTAGTTTTTATACGAAGATATTTCCTTTTCTGCCATAGGCCTAGAATCGCTTGAAATCTGCACTTGCAAATTCCAAAAACAGAGTGTTTCAACTCTGCTCTCTCTAAAGAAAGGTTCAACTCTGTGAGTTGAATACACACAACACAAAGAAGTTACTGAGAATTCTTCTGTCTAGCGTTATATGAAGAAATCCCGTTTCCAACGAAGGCCTCAAAGAGGTCCAAATATCCACTTGCAGACTTTACAAATAGAGTGTTTCCCAACTGCTCTATGAAAAGAAAGGTTAAACTCTGTGAGTTGAAGGCACACATCACACACTAGTTTCTACGAATGACTCTGTGTACTTTTAATATGAAGATATTTCCATGTCTAAGATTGGCGTCAAATCGCTTGAAATCTCCACTTGCAAATTCCACAAAAAGAGTGTTTCAAAACTGCTCTGAATAAAGGAAGGTTCCACTCTGTGAGTTGAATACACACAACACAAAGGATTTACTGAGAATTCTTCTGTCTAGCAGTAAATGAGAAATCCCGCTTCCAACGAAGGCCTCAAAGGGGTCTAACTAATCACTTGCAGACTTTACAGACAGAGTCTTTCCAAACTGCTGTATGAAGAGAAAGGTGAAACTCTGTGAACTAAACGCACAGATGACAAAGCAGTTTCTGAGAATGCTTCTGTGTAGTTTTTACACGAAGATATTTCCATTTCAAAGATTAGCCTCAAATCTCTTAAAATCTCCAATTGCAAATTCCACAGAAAGAATTTTTCAAAACTGCTCTGTCTAAAAGAAGGTTCAACTCTGTGACTTGAATACACACAACACAAAGAAGTGACTGAGAATTCTTCTGTCTAGCATTATATGAAGAAATCCCGTTTCCAACGAAGGCCTCAAAGAAGTCCAAATAAGCACCTGCAGACTTTACAAACAGAGTGTTTCCAAACTGCTCTATGAAAAGAAAGGTTAAACTCTGTGAGTTGAACGCACACATCACAAACTAGTTTCTGCGAATGACCTGTGTACTTTTAATACGAAGATGTTTCCATGTCTAAGATGGGCGTGAATTCGCTTGAAATCTCCACTTGCAAATTCCACAAAAAGAGTGTTTCAAAACTGCTCTGAATAAAGGAAGGTTCCACTCTGTGAGTTGAATACACACAACACAAAGGATTTACTGAGAATTCTTTCTGTCTAGCAGTAAATGAAAAAATCCCGCTTCCAACGAAGTCCTCAAAGGGGTCCAAGTAATCACTTGCAGACTTTACAGACAGAGTCTTTCCAAACTGCTCTATGAAAAGAAAGGTGGAACTCTGTGAGCTGAACGCACACATAACAAAGCAGTTTCTGAGAATGATTCTGTGTAGTTTTTACACGAAGATATTTCCATTTCAAAGATTAGCCTCAAATCGCTTGAAATCTCCACTTGCAAATTCCACAGAAAGAGTTTTTCAAAACTGCTCTGTGTAAAGGAAGGTTCAACTCTGTGACTTGAATACACACAACACAAAGAAGTGACTGAGAATTCTTCTGTCTAGCATTATATGAAGAAATCCCGTTTCCAACGAAGGCCTCAAAGAAGTCCAAATAAGCACCTGCAGACTTTACAAACAGGGTGTTTCCAAACTGCTCTATGAAAAGAAAGGTTAAACTCCTGTGAGTTGAACGCACACATCACAAAGTAGTTGTTGAGAATGATTTTGCCTAGTTTTAATACGAAGTTATATCCTTGTCTATCATTGTCTTCGAAGCGTTTGAAATCTGCACTAGCAAAATCCACAAAAAGAGTGTTTCAAATCTGCTCTCTCTAGGGAAAGGTTCAACTCTGTGAGTTGAATAAACACAACACAAAGAAGTTACTGAGAATTCTTCTGTCTAGCGTTATATGAAGAAATCCCGTTTCCAACGAAGGCCTCAAAGAGGTCCAAATATCCACTTGAATACTTTACAAATAGAGTGTTTCCAAACTGCTATATGAAAAGAAATGTTAAACTCTGTGAGTTGAACTCACACATCACAAACTGGTTTCTGTGAATGACTCTGGGTACTTTTAATACGAAGATATTTCCATGTCTAAGATTGGCGTGAAATCGCTTGAAATCTCCACTTGCAAATTCCACAAAAAGAGTGTTTCAAAACTGCTCTGAATAAAGGAAGGTTCAACTCTGTGAGTTGAATACACACAACACAAAGGATTTACTGAGAATTCTTCTGTCTAGCAGTAAGTGAAAAAATCCCACTTCCAACGAAGGCCTCAAAGGGGTCCAAGTATTCACTTGCAGACTTTACAGACAGAGTCTTTCCAAACTGCTGTATGAAAAGAAAGGTGAAACTCTGTGAGTTGAACGCACACATAACAAAGCAGTTTCTGTGAATGATTCTGTGTAGTTTTTACACGAAGATATTTCCATTTCAAAGATTAGCCTCAAATCGCTTGAAATCTCCACTTGCAAACTCCACAGAAAGAATTTTTCAAAACTGCTCTGTCTAAAGGAAGGTTCAACTCTGTGACTTGAATACACACAACACAAAGAAGTGACTGAGAATTCTTCTGTCTAGCATTATATGAAGAAATCCCGTTTCCAACGAAGGCCTCAATGAAGTCCAAAAAAGCACTTGCAGGCTTTACAAACAGAGTGTTTCCAAACTGCTCTATGAAAAGAAAGGTTAAACTCTGTGAGTTGAACGCACACATCACAAAGTAGTTGTTGAGAATGATTCTGTGTAGTTTTTATACGAAGATATTTCCTTTTCTGCCATAGGCCTAGAAGCGCTTGAAATCTGCACTTGCAAATTCCAAAAACAGAGTGTTTCAAATCTGCCCTCTCTAAAGGAAGGTTCAAATCTGTGAGTTGAATACAAACAACACAAAGAAGTTACTGAGAATTCTTCTGTCTAGCATTATATGAGGAAATCCCGTTTCCAACGAAGGGCTCAAAGAGGGCCAATTATCCACCTGCAGACTTACAAAGAGTGTATTTCCAAACTGCTCGATTAAAGAAAGGTTAAACTCTGTGAGTTGAACACACACATCACAAAGTGTTTTCTGAGAATGATCCTGTGTAGTTTTTATACGAAGATATTTCCTTTTCTGCCATAGGCCTAGAAGCGCTTGCAATCTGCACTTGCAAATTCCAAAAACAGAGTGTTTCAAATCTGCTCTCTCCAAAGGAAGGTTCAAATCTGTGAGTTGAATACAAACAACACAAAGAAGTTACTGAGAATTCTTCTGTCTAGCGTTACATGAAGAAATCCCGTTTCCAAAGAAGGCCTCAAAGAGGTCCAAATATCCACTTGCAGACTTTACAAATAGAGTGTTTCCAAACTGCTCTATGAAAAGAAAGGTTAAACTCTGTGAGTTGAAGGCACACATCACAAAGTAGTTTCTGCGAATGACTCTGTGTACTTTTAATATGAAGATTTTTCCATGTCTAAGATTGGCGTCAAATCGCTTGAAATCTCCACTTGCAAATTCCACAAAAAGAGTGTTTCAAAACTGCTCTGAATAAAGGAAGGTTCCACTCTGTGAGTTGAATACACACAACACAAAGGATTTACTGAGAATTCTTCTGTCTAGCAGTAAATGAGAAATCCCGCTTCCAACGAAGGCCTCAAAGGGGTCTAACTAATCACTTGCAGACTTTACAGACAGAGTCTTTCCAAACTGCTCTATGAAGAGAAAGGTGAAACTCTGTGAACTGAACGCACAGATGACAAAGCAGTTTCTGAGAATGATTCTGTGTAGTTTTTACACGAAGATATTTCCATTTCAAAGATTAGCCTCAAATCGCTTGAAATCTCCACTTGCAAACTCCACAGAAAGAATTTTTCAAAACTGCTCGGTCTAAAGGAAGGTTCAACTCTGTGACTTGAATACACACAACACAAAGAAGTGACTGAGAATTCTTCTGTCTAGCATTATATGAAGAAATCCCGTTTCCAACGAAGGCCTCAATGAAGTCCAAAAAAGGAATTGCAGGCTTTACAAACAGAGTGTTTCCAAACTGCTCTATGAAAAGAAAGGTTAAACTTTGTGAGTTGAACGCACACATCACAAAGTAGTTGTTGAGAATGATTCTGTGCAGTTTTTATACGAAGATATTTCCTTTTCTGCCATAGGCCTAGAAGCGCTTGAAATCTGCACTTGCAAATTCCAAAAACAGAGTGTTTCAAATCTGCTCTCTCTAAAGGAAGGTTCAAATCTGTGTGTTGAATACAAACAACACAAAGAAGTTACTGAGAATTCTTCTGTCTAGCATTATATGAGGAAATCCCGTTTCCAACGAAGGGCTCAAAGAGGGCCAAATATCCACCTGCAGACTTACAAAGAGTGTATTTCCAAACTGCTCGATTAAAGAAAGGTTAAACTCTGTGAGTTGAACACACACATCACAAAGAGTTTTCTGAGAATGATTCTGTGTAGTTTTTATACGAAGATATTTCCTTTTCTGCCATAGGCCTAGAAGTGCTTGAAATCTGCACTTGCAAATTCCAAAAACAGAGTGTTTCAAATCTGCTCTCTCTAAAGGAAGGTTCAAATCTGTGAGTTGAATACAAACAACACAGAGAAGTTACTGAGAATTCTTCTGTCTAGCATTATAAGAGGAAATCCCGTTTCCAAAGAAGGGCTCAAAGAGGGCCAAATATCCACCTGCAGACTTACAAAGAGTGTATTTCCAAACTGCTCGATTAAAGAAAGGTTAAACTCTGTGAGTTGAACACACACATCACAAAGAGTTTTCTGAGAATGATTTTGTCTACTTTTAATACGAAGATATCTCCTTTTCTATCACTGACTTCGAAGCGTTTGAAATCTACACTAGCAAATTCCACAAAAACACTGTTTCACCTCTGCTCCCTCTAAAGAAAGGTTCAACTCTGTGAGTTGAATACACACAACACAAAGAAGTTACTGAGAATTCTTCTGTCTAGCGTTATATGAAGAAATCCCGTTTCCAACGAAGGCCTCAAAGAGGTCCAAATATCCACTTGCAGACTTTACAAATAGAGTGTTTCCCAACTGCTCTATGAAAAGAAAGGTTAAACTCTGTGAGTTGAAGGCACACATCACAAACTAGTTTCTACGAATGACTCTGTGTACTTTTAATATGAAGATATTTCCATGTCTAAGATTGGCGTCAAATCGCTTGAAATCTCCACTTGCAAATTCCACAAAAAGAGTGTTTCAAAACTGCTCTGAAAAAAGGAAGGTTCCACTCTGTGAGTTGAATACACACAACACAAAGGATTTACTGAGAATTCTTCTGTCTAGCAGTAAATGAGAAATCCCGCTTCCAACGAAGGCCTCAAAGGGGTCTAACTAATCACTTGCGGACTTTACAGACAGAGTCTTTCCAAACTGCTCTATGAAGAGAAAGGTGAAACTCTGTGAACTGAACGCACAGATAACAAAGCAGTTTCTGAGAATGATTCTGTGTAGCTTTTACACGAAGATATTTCCATTTCAAAGATTAGCCTCAAATCGCTTGAAATCTCCACTTGCAAACTCCACAGAAAGAATTTTTCAAAACTGCTCTGTCTAAAGGAAGGTTCAACTCTGTGACTTGAATACACACAACACAAAGAAGTGACTGAGAATTCTTCTGTCTAGCATTATATGAAGAAATCCCGTTTCCAACGAAGGCCTCAATGAAGTCCAAAAAAGCACTTGCAGGCTTTACAAACAGAGTGTTTCCAAATTGCTCTATGAAAAGAAAGGTTAAACTCTGTGAGTTGAACGCACACATCACAAAGTAGTTGTTGAGAATGATTCTGTGTAGTTTTTATACGAAGATATTTCCTTTTCTGCCATAGGCCCAGAAGCGCTTGAAATCTGCACTTGCAAATTCCAAAAACAGAGTGTTTCAAAACTGCTCTCTCTAAAGGAAGGTTCAAATCTGTGAGTTGAATACAAACAACACAAAGAAGTTACTGAGAATTCTTCTGTCTAGCATTATATGAGGAAATCCCGTTTCCAACGAAGGGCTCAAAGAGGGCCAAATATCCACCTGCAGACTTACAAAGAGTGTATTTCCAAACTGCTCGATTAAAGAAAGGTTAAACTCTGTGAGTTGAACACACACATCACAAAGAGTTTTCTGAGAATGATTCTGTGTAGTTTTTATACGAAGATATTTAATTTTCTGCCATAGGCCTAGAAGCGCTTGCAATCTGCACTTGCAAATTCCAAAAACAGAGTGTTTCAAATCTGCTCTCTCCAAAGGAAGGTTCAAATCTGTGAGTTGAATACAAACAACACAAAGAAGTTACTGAGAATTCTTCTGTCTAGCTTTATAAGAGGAAATCCCGTTTCCAACGAAGGGCTCATAGAGGGACAATTATCCAGCTGCAGACTTACAAAGAGTGTATTTCCAAACTGCTCGATTAAAGAAAGGTTAAACTCTGTGAGTTGAACACACACATCACAAAGTGTTTTCTGAGAATGATTTTGTCTAGTTTTAATACGAAGATATATCCTTTTCTATCACTGTCTTCGAAGCGTTTGAAATCTGCACTAGCAAATTCCACAAACAGAGTGTTTCAACTCTGCTCTCTCTCAAGAAAGGTTCAACTCTGTGAGTGGAATACACACAACACAAAGAAGTTACTGAGAATTCTTCTGTCTAGCGTTATATGAAGAAATCCCGTTTCCAACGAAGGCCTCAAAGAGGTCCAAATATCCACTTGCAGACTTTACAAATAGAGTGTTTCCAAACTGCTCTATGAAAAGAAAGGTTAAACTCTGTGAGTTGAAGGCACACATCACAAACAAGTTTCTGCGAATGACTCTGTGTACTTTTAATACGAAGATGTTTCCATGTCTAAGATGGGCGTGAATTCGCTTGAAATCTCCACTTGCAAATTCCACAAAAAGAGTGTTTCAAAACTGCTCTGAATAAAGGAAGGTTCCACTCTGTGAGTTGAATACACACAACACAAAGGATTTACTGAGAATTCTTCTGTCTAGCAGTAAATGAGAAATCCCGCTTCCAACGAAGGCCTCAAAGGGGTCTAACTAATCACTTGCAGACTTTACAGACAGAATCTTTCCAAACTGCTCTATGAAGAGAAAGGTGAAACTCTGTGAACTGAACGCACAGATGACAAAGCAGTTTCTGAGAATGCTTCTGTGTAGTTTTTACACGAAGATATTTCCATTTCAAAGATTAGCCTCAAATCGCTTGAAATCTCCACTTGCAAACTCCACAGAAAGAATTTTTCAAAACTGCTCTGTCTAAAGGAAGGTTCAACTCTGTGACTTGAATACACACAACACAAAGAAGTGACTGAGAATTCTTCTGTCTAGCATTATAAGAGGAAATCCCGTTTCCAACGAAGGGCTCATAGAGGGACAATTATCCACCTGCAGACTTACAAAGAGTGTATTTCCAAACTGCTCGATTAAAGAAAGGTTAAACTCTGTGAGTTGAACACACACATCACAAAGTGTTTTCTGAGAATGATTTTGTCTAGTTTTAATACGAAGATATATCCTTTTCTATCACTGTCTTCGAAGCGTTTGAAATCTGCACTAGCAAATTCCACAAACAGAGTGTTTCAACTCTGCTCTCTCTCAAGAAAGGTTCAACTCTGTGAGTGGAATACACACAACACAAAGAAGTTACTGAGAATTCTTCTGTCTAGCGTTATATGAAGAAATCCCGTTTCCAACGAAGGCCTCAAAGAGGTCCAAATATCCACTTGCAGACTTTACAAATAGAGTGTTTCCAAACTGCTCTATGAAAAGAAAGGTTAAACTCTGTGAGTTGAAGGCACACATCACAAACTAGTTTCTGCGAATGACTCTGTGTACTTTTAATACGAAGATGTTTCCATGTCTAAGATTGGCGTGAATTCGCTTGAAATCTCCACTTGCAAATTCCACAAAAAGAGTGTTTCAAAACTGCTCTGAATAAAGGAAGGTTCCACTCTGTGAGTTGAATACACACAACACAAAGGATTTACTGAGAATTCTTCTGTCTAGCAGTAAATGAAAAAATCCCGCTTCCAACGAAGTCCTCAAAGGGGTCCAAGTAATCACTTGCAGACTTTACAGACAGAGTCTTTCCAAACTGCTCTATGAAAAGAAAGGTGGAACTCTGTGAGCTGAACGCACACATAACAAAGCAGTTTCTGACAATGATTCTGTGTAGTTTTTACACGAAGATATTTCCATTTCAAAGATTAGCCTCAAATCGCTTGAAATCTCCACTTGCAAATTCCACAGAAAGAATTTTTCAAAACTGCTCTGTCTAAAGGAAGGTTCAACTCTGTGACTTGAATACACACAACACAAAGAAGTGACTGAGAATTCTTCTGTCTAGCATTATATGAAGAAATCCCGTTTCCAACGAAGGCCTCAATGAAGTCCAAAAAAGCACTTGCAGGCTTTACAAACAGAGTGTTTCCAAACTGCTCTATGAAAAGAAAGGTTAAACTCTGTGAGTTGAACACACACATCACAAAGTAGTTGTTGAGAATGATTCTGTGTAGTTTTTATACGAAGATATTTCCTTTTCTGCCATAGGCCTAGAAGCGCTTGAAATCTGCACTTGCAAATTCCAAAAACAGAGTGTTTCAACTCTGCTCTCTCTAAAGAAAGGTTCAACTCTGTGAGTTGAATACACACAACACAAAGAAGTTACTGAGAATTCTTCTGTCTAGCGTTGTATGAAGAAATCCCGTTTCCAACGAAGGCCTCAAAGAGGTCCAAATATCCACCTGCAGATTTTACAAATAGAGTGTTTCCAAACTGCTCTATGAAAAGAAAGGTTAAACTCTGTGAGTTGAAGGCACACATCACAAACTAGTTTCTACGAATAACTCTGTGTACTTTTAATATGAAGATATTTCCATGTCTAAGATTGGCGTCAAATCGCTTGAAATCTCCACTTGCAAATTCCACAAAAAGTGTTTTTCAAAACTGCTCTGAATAAAGGAAGGTTCCACTCTGTGAGTTGAATACACACAACACAAAGGATTTACTGAGAATTCTTCTGTCTAGCAGTAAATGAGAAATCCCGCTTCCAACGAAGGCCTCAAAGGGGTCTAACTAATCACTTGCAGACTTTACAGACAGAGTCTTTCCAAACTGCTCTATGAAGAGAAAGGTGAAACTCTGTGAACTGAACGCACAGATGACAAAGCAGTTTCTGAGAATGATTCTGTGTAGTTTTTACACGAAGCTATTTCCATTTCAAAGATTAGCCTCAAATCGCTTGAAATCTCCACTTGCAAATTCCACAGAAATAGTTTTTCAAAACTGCTCTGTGTAAAGGAAGGTTCAGCTCTGTGACTTGAATACACACAACACAAAGAAGTGACTGAGAATTCCTTTCTGTCTAGCGTTGTATGAAGAAATCCCGTTTCCAACGAAGGCCTCAATGAAGTCCAAAAAAGCACTTGCAGGCTTTAAAAACAGAGTGTTTCCAAACTGCTCTATGAAAAGAAAGGTTAAACTCTGTGAGTTGAACGCACACATCACAAAGTAGTTGTTGAGAATGATTTTGTCTAGTTTTAATACGAAGATATATCCTTTTCTATCACTGTCTTCGAAGCGTTTGAAATCTGCACTAGCAAATTCCACAAACAGAGTGTTTCAACTCTGCTCTCTCTCAAGAAAGGTTCAACTCTGTGAGTGGAATACACACAACACAAAGAAGTTACTGAGAATTCTTCTGTCTAGCATTATATGAAGAAATCCCGTTTCCAACGAAGGCCTCAAAGAGGTCCAAATATCCACTTGCAGACTTTACAAATAGAGTGTTTCCAAACTGCTCTATGAAAAGAAAGGTTAAACTCCGTGCGTTGAAGGCACACATCACAAACTAGTTTCTGCGAATGACTCTGTGTACTTTTAATACGAAGATGTTTCCATGTCTAAGATTGGCGTGAATTCGCTTGAAATCTCCACTTGCAAATTCCACAAAAAGAGTGTTTCAAAAGTGCTCTGAATAAAGGAAGGTTCCACTCTGTATGTTGAATACACACAACACAAAGGATTTACTGAGAATTCTTCTGTCTAGCAGTAAATGAAAAAATCCCGCTTCCAACGAAGTCCTCAAAGGGGTCCAAGTAATCACTTGCAGACTTTACAGACAGAGTCTTTCCAAACTGCTCTATGAAAAGAAAGGTGGAACTCTGTGAGCTGAACGCACACATAACAAAGCAGTTTCTGAGAATGATTCTGTGTAGTTTTTACACGAAGATATTTCCATTTCAAAGATTAGCCTCAAATCGCTTGAAATCTCCACTTGCAAATTCCACAGAAAGAGTTTTTCAAAACTGCTCTGTGTAAAGGAAGGTTCAACTCTGTGACTTGAATACACAAAACACAAAGAAGTGACTGAGAATTCTTCTGTCTAGCATTATATGAAGAAATCCCGTTTCCAACGAAGGCCTCAAAGAAGTCCAAATAAGCACCTGCAGACTTTACAAACAGAGTGTTTCCAAACTGCTCTATGAAAAGAAAGGTTAAACTCTGTGAGTTGAACGCACACATCACAAAGTAGTTGTCGAGAATGATTTTGTCTAGTTTTAATACGAAGATATATCCTTTTCTATCACTGTCTTCGAAGCGTTTGAAATCTGCACTAGCAAATTCCACAGAAAGAGTGTTTCAACTCTGCTCTCTCTCAAGAAAGGTTCAACTCTGTGAGTGGAATACACACAACACAAAGAAGTTACTGAGAATTCTTCTGTCTAGCGTTATATGAAGAAATCCCGTTTCCAACGAAGACCTCAAAGAGGTCCAAATATCCACTTGCAGACTTTACAAATAGAGTGTTTCCGAACTGCTCTATGAAAAGAAAGGTTAAACTCTGTGAGTTGAAGGCACACATCACAAACTAGTTTCTACGAATGACTCTGTGTACTTTTAATATGAAGATATTTCCATGTCTAAGATTGGCGTCAAATCGTTTGAAATCTCCACTTGCAAATTCCACAAAAAGTGTTTTTCAAAACTGCTCTGAATAAAGGAAGGTTCCACTCTGTGAGTTGAATACACACAACACAAAGGATTTACTGAGAATTCTTCTGTCTAGCAGTAAATGAGAAATCCCGCTTCCAACGATGGCCTCAAAGGGGTCTAACTAATCACTTGCAGACCTTAAAGACAGAGTCTTTCCAAACTGCTCTATGAAGAGAAAGGTGAAACTCTGTGAACTGAACGCACAGATGACAAAGCAGTCTCTGAGAATGCTTCTGTGCAGTTTTTACACGAAGATATTTCCATTTCAAAGATTAGCCTCAAATCGCTTGAAATCTCCACTTGCAAATTCCACAGAAAAAATTTTTCAAAACTGCTCTGTCTAAAAGAAGGTTCAACTCTGTGACTTGAATACACACAACACAAAGAAGTGACTGAGAATTCTTCTGTCTAGCATTATATGAAGAAATCCCGTTTCCAACGAAGGCCTCAATGAAGTCCAAAAAAGCATTTGCAGGCTTTACAAACAGAGTGTTTCCAAACTGCTCTATGAAAAGAAAGGTTAAACTCTGTGAGTTGAACACACACATCACAAAGTAGTTGTTGAGAATGATTCTGTGTAGTTTTTATACGAAGATATTTCCTTTTCTGCCATAGGCCTAGATTCGCTTGAAATCTGCACTTGCAAATTCCAAAAACAGAGTGTTTCAACTCTGCTCTCTCTAAAGAAAGGTTCAACTCTGTGAGTTGAATACACACAACACAAAGAAGTTACTGAGAATTCTTCTGTCTAGCGTTATACGAAGAAATCCCTTTTCCAACAAAGGCCTCAAAGAGGTCCAAATATCCACTTGCAGACTTTACAAATAGAGTGTTTCCAAACTGCTCTATGAAAAGAAAGGTTAAACTCTGTGAGTTGAAGGCACACATCACAAACTAGTTTTTACGAATGACTCTGTGTACTTTTAATATGAAGATATTTCCATGTCTAAGATTGGCGTCAAATCGCCTGAAATCTCCACTTGCAAATTCCACAAAAAGTGTTTTTCAAAACTGCTCTGAATAAAGGAAGGTTCCACTCTGTGAGTTGAATACACACAACACAAAGGATTTACTGAGAATTCTTCTGTCTAGCAGTAAATGAGAAATCCCGCTTCCAAAGAAGGCCTCAAAGGGGTCTAACTAATCACTTGCAGACTTTACAGACAGAGTCTTTCCAAACTGCTCTATGAAGAGAAAGGTGAAACTCTGTGAACTGAACGCACAGATGACAAAGCAGTTTCTGAGAATGATTCTGTGTAGTTTTTACACGAAGATATTTCCATTTCAAAGATTAGCCTCAAATCGCTTGAAATCTCCACTTGCAAATTCCACAGAAAGAGTTTTTCAAAACTGCTCTGTGTAAAGGAAGGTTCAACTCTGTGACTTGAATACACACAACACAAAGAAGTGACTGAGAATTCTTCTGTCTAGCATTATATGAAGAAATCCCGTTTCCAACGAAGGCCTCAAAGAAGTCCAAATAAGCACCTGCAGACTTTACAAACAGAGTGTTTCCAAACTGCTCTATGAAAAGAAAGGTTAAACTCTGTGAGTTGAACGCACACATCACAAAGTAGTTGTTGAGAATGATTCTGTGTAGTTTTTATACGAAGATATTTCCTTTTCTGCCATAGGCCTAGAAGCGCTTGTAATCTGCACTTGCAAATTCCAAAAACAGAGTGTTTCAAATCTGCTCTCTCCAAAGGAAGGTTCAAATCTGTGAGTTGAATACAAACAACACAAAGAAGTTACTGAGAATTCTTCTGTCTAGCGTTATATGAAGAAATCCCGTTTCCAACGAAGGCCTCAAAGAGGTCCAAATATCCACTTGCAGACTTTACAAATAGAGTGTTTCCAAACTGCTCTATGAAAAGAAAGGTTAAACTCCGTGAGTTGAAGGCACACATTACAAGCTAGTTTCTGCGAATGACTCTGTGTACTTTTAATACGAAGATGTTTCCATGTCTAAGATTGGCGTGAATTCGCTTGAAATCTCCACCTGCAAATTCCACAAAAAGAATGTTTCAAAACTGCTCTGAATAGAGGAAGGTTCCACTCTGTGAGTTGAATACACACAACACAAAGGATTTACTGAGAATTCTTCTGTCTAGCAGTAAATGAAAAAATCCCGCTTCCAACGAAGTCCTCAAAGGGGTCCAAGTAATCACTTGCAGACTTTACAGACAGAGTCTTTCCAAACTGCTCTATGAAAAGAAAGGTGGAACTCTGTGAGCTGAACGCACACATAACAAAGCAGTTTCTGAGAATGATTCTGTGTAGTTTTTACACGAAGATATTTCCATTTCAAAGATTAGCCTCAAATCGCTTGAAATCTCCACTTGCAAATTCCACAGAAAGAGTTTTTCAAAACTGCTCTGTGTAAAGGAAGGTTCAACTCTGTGACTTGAATACACACAACACAAAGAAGTGACTGAGAATTCTTCTGTCTAGCATTATATGAGGAAATCCCGTTTCCAACGAAGGGCTCATAGAGGGACAATTATCCAGCTGCAGACTTACAAAGAGTGTATTTCCAAACTGCTCGATTAAAGAAAGGTTAAACTCTGTGAGTTGAACACACACATCACAAAGTGTTTTCTGAGAATGATTTTGTCTAGTTTTAATACGAAGATATATCCTTTTCTATCACTGTCTACGAAGCGTTTGAAATCTGCACTAGCAAATTCCACAAACAGAGTGTTTCAACTCTGCTCTCTCTCAAGAAAGGTTCAACTCTGTGAGTGGAATACACACAACACAAAGAAGTTACTGAGAATTCTTCTGTCTAGCGTTATATGAAGAAATCCCGTTTCCAACGAAGGCCTCAAAGAGGTCCAAATATCCACTTGCAGACTTTACAAATAGAGTGTTTCCAAACTGCTCTATGAAAAGAAAGGTTAAACTCTGTGAGTTGAAGGCACACATCACAAACTAGTTTCTGCGAATGACTCTGTGTACTTTTAATACGAAGATGTTTCCATGTCTAAGATTGGCGTGAATTCGCTTGAAATCTCCACTTGCAAATTCCACAAAAAGAGTGTTTCAAAACTGCTCTGAATAAAGGAAGGTTCCACTCTGTGAGTTGAATACACACAACACAAAGGATTTACTGAGAATTCTTCTGTCTAGCAGTAAATGAAAAAATCCCGCTTCCAACGAAGTCCTCAAAGGGGTCCAAGTAATCACTTGCAGACTTTACAGACAGAGTCTTTCCAAACTGCTCTATGAAAAGAAAGGTGGAACTCTGTGAGCTGAACGCACACATAACAAAGCAGTTTCTGACAATGATTCTGTGTAGTTTTTACACGAAGATATTTCCATTTCAAAGATTAGCCTCAAATCGCTTGAAATCTCCACTTGCAAATTCCACAGAAAGAGTTTTTCAAAACTGCTCTGTGTAAAGGAAGGTTCAACTCTGTGACTTGAATACACACAACACAAAGAAGTGACTGAGAATTCTTCTGTCTAGCATTATATGAGGAAATCCCGTTTCCAACGAAGGGCTCATAGAGGGACAATTATCCAGCTGCAGACTTACAAAGAGTGTATTTCCAAACTGCTCGATTAAAGAAAGGTTAAACTCTGTGAGTTGAACACACACATCACAAAGTGTTTTCTGAGAATGATTTTGTCTAGTTTTAATACGAAGATATATCCTTTTCTATCACTGTCTTCGAAGCGTTTGAAATCTGCACTAGCAAATTCCACAAACAGAGTGTTTCAACTCTGCTCTCTCTCAAGAAAGGTTCAACTCTGTGAGTGGAATACACACAACACAAAGAAGTTACTGAGAATTCTTCTGTCTAGCATTATATGAAGAAATCCCGTTTCCAACGAAGGCCTCAAAGAGGTCCAAATATCCACTTGCAGACTTTACAAATAGAGTGTTTCCAAACTGCTCTATGAAAAGAAAGGTTAAACTCTGTGAGTTGAAGGCACACATCACAAACTAGTTTCTGCGAATGACTCTGTGTACTTTTAATACGAAGATGTTTCCATGTCTAAGATTGGCGTGAATTCGCTTGAAATCTCCACTTGCAAATTCCACAAAAAGAGTGTTTCAAAACTGCTCTGAATAAAGGAAGGTTCCACTCTGTGAGTTGAATACACACAACACAAAGGATTTACTGAAAATTCTTCTGTCTAGCAGTAAATGAAAAAATCCCGCTTCCAACGAAGTCCTCAAAGGGGTCCAAGTAATCACTTGCAGACTTTACAGACAGAGTCTTTCCAAACTGCTCTATGAAAAGAAAGGTGGAACTCTGTGAGCTGAACGCACACATAACAAAGCAGTTTCTGAGAATGATTCTGTGTAGTTTTTACACGAAGATATTTCCATTTCAAAGATTAGCCTCAAATCGCTTGAAATCTCCACTTGCAAATTCCACAGAAAGAGTTTTTCAAAACTGCTCTGTGTAAAGGAAGGTTCAACTCTGTGACTTGAATACACACAACACAAAGAAGTGACTGAGAATTCTTCTGTCTAGCATTATATGAAGAAATCCCGTATCCAACGAAGGCCTCAAAGAAGTCCAAATAAGCACCTGCAGACTTTACAAACAGAGTGTTTCCAAACTGCTCTATGAAAAGAAAGGTTAAACTCTGTGAGTTGAACGCACACATCACAAACTAGTTTCTGCGAATGACTTTGTCTAGTTTTAATACGAAGATATATCCTTTTCTATCACTGTCTTCGAAGCGTTTGAAATCTGCACTAGCAAATTCCACAGAAAGAGTGTTTCAACTCTGCTCTCTCTCAAGAAAGGTTCAACTCTGTGAGTGGAATACACACAACACAAAGAAGTTACTGAGAATTCTTCTGTCTAGCGTTATATGAAGAAATCCCGTTTCCAACGAAGGCCTCAAAGAGGTCCAAATATCCACTTGCAGACTTTACAAATAGAGTGTTTCCAAACTGCTCTATGAAAAGAAAGGTTAAACTCCGTGAGTTGAAGGCACGCATCACAAACTAGTTTCTGCGAATGACTCTGTGTACTTTTAATACGAAGATGTTTCCATGTCTAAGATTGGCGTGAATTCGCTTGAAATCTCCACTTGCAATTTCCACAAAAAGAGTGTTTCAAAACTGCTCTGAATAAAGGAAGGTTCCACTCTGTGAGTTGAATACACACAACACAAAGGATTTACTGAGAATTCTTCTGTCTAGCAGTAAATGAAAAAATCCCGCTTCCAACGAAGTCCTCAAAGGGGTCCAAGTAATCACTTGCAGACTTTACAGACAGAGTCTTTCCAAACTGCTCTATGAAAAGAAAGGTGGAACTCTGTGAGCTGAACGCACACATAACAAAGCAGTTTCTGAGAATGATTCTGTGTAGTTTTTACACGAAGCTATTTCCATTTCAAAGATTAGCCTCAAATCGCTTGAAATCTCCACTTGCAAATTCCACAGAAAGAGTTTTTCAAAACTGCTCTGTGTAAAGGAAGGTTCAACTCTGTGACTTGAATACACACAACACAAAGAAGTGACTGAGAATTCTTCTGTCTAGCATTATATGAGGAAATCCCGTTTCCAACGAAGGGCTCAAAGAGGGCCAATTATCCACCTGCAGACTTACAAAGAGTGTATTTCCAAACTGCTCGATTAAAGAAAGGTTAAACTCTGTGAGTTGAACACACACATCACAAAGTGTTTTCTGAGAAGGATTTTGTCTAGTTTTAATACGAAGATATATCCTTTTCTATCACTGTCTTCGAAGCGTTTGAAATCTGCACTAGCAAATTCCACAAAAAGAGTGTTTCAACTCTGCTCTCTCTCAAGAAAGGTTCAACTCTGTGAGTTGAATACACACAACACAAAGAAGTTACTGAGAATTCTTCTGTCTAGCGTTATATGAAGAAATCCCGTTTCCAAAGAAGGCCTCAAAGAGGTCAAAATATCCACTTGCAGACTTTAGAAATAGAGTGTTTCCGAACTGCTCTATGAAAAGAAAGGTTAAACTCCGTGATTTGAAGGCACACATCACAAACTAGTTTCTACGAATGACTCTGTGTACTTTTAATATGAAGATATTTCCATGTCTAAGATTGGCGTCAAATCGCTTGAAATCTCCACTTGCAAATTCCACAAAAAGAGTGTTTCAAAACTGCTCTGAATAAAGGAAGGTTCCACTCTGTGAGTTGAATACACACAACACAAAGGATTTACTGAGAATTCTTCTGTCTAGCAGTAAATGAGAAATCCCGCTTCCAACGAAGGCCTCAAAGGGTTCTAACTAATCACTTGCAGACATTACAGACAGAGTCTTTCCAAACTGCTCTATGAAGAGAAAGGTGAAACTCTGTGAACTGAACGCACAGATGACAAAGCAATTTCTGAGAATGATTCTGTGTAGTTTTTACACGAAGATATTTCCATTTCAAAGATTAGCCTCAAATCGCTTGAAATCTCCACTTGCAAACTCCACAGAAAGAATTTTTCAAAACTGCTCTGTCTAAAGGAAGGTTCAACTCTGTGACTTGAATACACACAACACAAAGAAGTGACTGAGAATTCTTCTGTCTAGCATTATATGAGGAAATCCCGTTTCCAACGAAGGGCTCAAAGAGGGCCAATTATCCACCTGCAGACTTACAAAGAGTGTATTTCCAAACTGCTCGATTAAAGAAAGGTTAAACTCTGTGAGTTGAACACACACATCACAAAGAGTTTTCTGAGAATGATTTTGTCTACTTTTAATACGAAGATATATCCTTTTCTATCACTGTCTTCGAAGCGTTTGAAATCTACACTAGCAAATTCCACAAAAAGAGTGTTTCACCTCTGCTCCCTCTAAAGAAAGGTTCAACTCTGTGAGTTGAATACACACAACACAAAGAAGTTACTGAGAATTCTTCTGTCTAGCGTTATATGAAGAAATCCCGTTTCCAACGAAGGCCTCAAAGAGGTCCAAATATCCACTTGCAGACTTTACAAATAGAGTGTTTCCAAACTGCTCTATGAAAAGAAAGGTTAAACTCTGTGAGTTGAAGGCACACATCACAAACTAGTTTCTACGAATGACTCTGTGTACTTTTAATATGAAGATATTTCCATGTCTAAGATTGGCGTCAAATCGCTTGAAATCTCCACTTGCAAATTCCACAAAAAGAGTGTTTCAAAACTGCTCTGAATAAAGGAAGGTTCCACTCTGTGAGTTGAATACACACAACACAAAGGATTTACTGAGAATTCTTCTGTCTAGCAGTAAATGAGAAATCCCGCTTCCAACGAAGGCCTCAAAGGGGTCTAACTAATCACTTGCAGACTTTACAGACAGAGTCTTTCCAAACTGCTCTATGAAGAGAAAGGTGAAACTCTGTGAACTGAACGCACAGATGACAAAGCAGTTTCTGAGAATGATTCTGTGTAGTTTTTACACGAAGAATATTTCCATTTCAAAGATTAGCCTCAAATCGCTTGAAATCTCCACTTGCAAATTCCACAGAAAGAGTTTTTCAAAACTGCTCTGTGTAAAGGAAGGTTCAACTCTGTGACTTGAATACACACAACACAAAGAAGTGACTGAGAATTCTTCTGTCTAGCATTATATGAAGAAATCCCGTTTCCAACGAAGGCCTCAAAGAAGTCCAAATAAGCACCGGCAGACTTTACAAACAGAGTGTTTCCAAACTGCTCTATGAAAAGAAAGGTTAAACTCTGTGAGTTGAACGCACACATCACAAAGTAGTTGTTGAGAATGATTCTGTGTAGTTTTTATACGAAGATATTTCCTTTTCTGCCATAGGCCTAGAAGCGCTTGCAATCTGCACTTGCAAATTCCAAAAACAGAGTGTTTCAAATCTGCTCTCTCCAAAGGAAGGTTCAAATCTGTGAGTTGAATACAAACAACACAAAGAAGTTACTGAGAATTCTTCTGTCTAGCATTATATGAGGAAATCCCGTTTCCAACGAAGGGCTCATAGAGGGACAATTATCCACCTGCAGAATTACAAAGAGTGCATTTCCAAACTGCTCGATTAAAGAAAGGTTAAACTCTGTGAGTTGAACACACACATCACAAAGTGTTTTCTGAGAATGATTTTGTCTAGTTTTAATACGAAGATATATCCTTTTCTATCACTGTCTTCGAAGCGTTTGAAATCTGCACTAGCAAATTCCACAAACAGAGTGTTTCAACTCTGCTCTCTCTCAAGAAAGGTTCAACTCTGTGAGTGGAATACACACAACACAAAGAAGTTACTGAGAATTCTTCTGTCTAGCGTTATATGAAGAAATCCCGTTTCCAACGAAGGCCTCAAAGAGGTCCAAATATCCACTTGCAGACTTTACAAATAGAGTGTTTCCAAACTGCTCTATGAAAAGAAAGGTTAAACTGTGAGTTGAAGGCACACATCACAAACTAGTTTCTGCGAATGACTCTGTGTACTTTTAATACGAAGATGTTTCCATGTCTAAGATTGGCGTGAATTCGCTTGAAATCTCCACTTGCAAATTCCACAAAAAGAGTGTTTCAAAACTGCTCTGAATAAAGGAAGGTTCCACTCTGTGAGTTGAATACACACAACACAAAGGATTTACTGAGAATTCTTCTGTCTAGCAGTAAATGAAAAAATCCCGCTTCCAACGAAGTCCTCAAAGGGGTCCAAGTAATCACTTGCAGACTTTACAGACAGAGTCTTTCCAAACTGCTCTATGAAAAGAAAGGTGGAACTCTGTGAGCTGAACGCACACATAACAAAGCAGTTTCTGAGAAAGATTCTGTGTAGTTTTTACACGAAGATATTTCCATTTCAAAGATTAGCCTCAAATCGCTTGAAATCTCCACTTGCAAATTCCACAGAAAGAGTTTTTCAAAACTGCTCTGTGTAAAGGAAGGTTCAACTCTGTGACTTGAATACACACAACACAAAGAAGTGACTGAGAATTCTTCTGTCTAGCATTATAAGAGGAAATCCCGTTTCCAACGAAGGGCTCCTAGAGGGACAATTATCCAGCTGCAGACTTACAAAGAGTGTATTTCCAAACTGCTCGATTAAAGAAAGGTTAAACTCTGTGAGTTGAACACACACATCACAAAGTGTTTTCTGAGAATGATTCTGTGTAGTTTTTATACGAAGATATTTCCTTTTCTGCCATAGGCCTAGAAGCGCTTGAAATCTGCACTTGCAAATTCCAAAAACAGCGTGTTTCAAATCTGCTCTCTCTAAAGGAAGGTTCAAATCTGTGTGTTGAATACAAACAACACAAAGAAGTTACTGAGAATTCTTCTGTCTAGCATTATATGAGGAAATCCCGTTTCCAACGAAGGGCTCAAAGAGGGCCAAATATCCACCTGCAGACTTACAAAGAGTGTATTTCCAAACTGCTCGATTAAAGAAAGGTTAAACTCTGTGAGTTGAACACACACATCACAAAGAGTTTTCTGAGAATGATTTTGTCTACTTTTAATACGAAGATATATCCTTTTCTATCACTGTCTTCGAAGCGTTTGAAATCTACACTAGCAAATTCCACAAAAAGAGTGTTTCACCTCTGCTCCCTCTAAAGAAAGGTTCAACTCTGTGAGTTGAATACACACAACACAAAGAAGTTACTGAGAATTCTTCTGTCTAGCGTTATATGAAGAAATCCCGTTTCCAACGAAGGCCTCAAAGAGGTCCAAATATCCACTTGCAGACTTTACAAATAGAGTGTTTCCCAACTGCTCTATGAAAAGAAAGGTTAAACTCTGTGAGTTGAAGGCACACATCACAAACTAGTTTCTACGAATGACTCTGTGTACTTTTAATATGAAGATATTTCCATGTCTAAGATTGGCGTCAAATCGCTTGAAATCTCCACTTGCAAATTCCACAAAAAGAGTGTTTCAAAACTGCTCTGAATAAAGGAAGGTTCCACTCTGTGAGTTGAATACACACAACACAAAGGATTTACTGAGAATTCTTCTGTCTAGCAGTAAATGAGAAATCCCGCTTCCAACGAAGGCCTCAAAGGGGTCTAACTAATCACTTGCAGACTTTACAGACAGAGTCTTTCCAAACTGCTCTATGAAGAGAAAGGTGAAACTCTGTGAACTGAACGCACAGATGACAAAGCAGTTTCTGAGAATGATTCTGTGTAGTTTTTACACGAAGATATTTCCATTTCAAAGGATTAGCCTCAAATCGCTTGAAATCTCCACTTGCAAATTACACAGAAAGAATTTTTCAAAACTGCTCTGTCTAAAGGAAGGTTCAACTCTGTGACTTGAATACACACAACACAAAGAAGTGACTGAGAATTCTTCTGTCTAGCATTATATGAAGAAATCCCGTTTCCAACGAAGGCCTCAATGAAGTCCAAAAAAGCACTTGCAGGCTTTACAAACAGAGTGTTTCCAAACTGCTCTATGAAAAGAAAGGTTAAACTCTGTGAGTTGAACGCACACATCACAAAGTAGTTGTTGAGAATGATTCTGTGTAGTTTTTATACGAAGATATTTCCTTTTCTGCCATAGGCCTAGAAGCGCTTGAAATCTGCACTTGCAAATTCCAAAAACAGAGTGTTTCAAATCTGCTCTCTCTAAAGGAAGGTTCAAATCTGTGTGTTGAATACAAACAACACAAAGAAGTTACTGAGAATTCTTCTGTCTAGCATTATATGAGGAAATCCCGTTTCCAACGAAGGGCTCAAAGAGGGCCAAATATCCACCTGCAGACTTACAAAGAGTGTATTTCCAAACTGCTCGATTAAAGAAAGGTTAAACTCTGTGAGTTGAACACACACATCACAAAGAGTTTTCTGAGAATGATTTTGTCTACTTTTAATACGAAGATATATCCTTTTCTATCACTGTCTTCGAAGCGTTTGAAATCTACACTAGCAAATTCCACAAAAAGAGTGTTTCACCTCTGCTCCCTCTAAAGAAAGGTTCAACTCTGTGAGTTGAATACACACAACACAAAGAAGTTACTGAGAATTCTTCTGTCTAGCGTTATATGAAGAAATCCCGTTTCCAACGAAGGCCTCAAAGAGGTCCAAATATCCACTTGCAGACTTTACAAATAGAGTGTTTCCCAACTGCTCTATGAAAAGAAAGGTTAAACTCCTGTGAGTTGAAGGCACACATCACAAACTAGTTTCTACGAATGACTTCTGTGTACTTTTAATATGAACATATTTCCATGTCTAAGATTGGTGTCAAATCGCTTGAAATCTCCACTTGCAAATTCCACAAAAAGTGTTTTTCAAAACTTCTCTGAATAAAGGAAGGTTCCACTCTGTGAGTTGAATACACACAACACAAAGGATTTACTGAGAATTCTTCTGTCTAGCAGTAAATGAGAAATCCCGCTTCCAACGAAGGCCTCAAAGGGGTCTAACTAATCACTTGCAGACTTTACAGACAGAGTCTTTCCAAACTGCTCTATGAAGAGAAAGGTGAAACTCTGTGAACTGAACGCACAGATGACAAAGCAGTTTCTGAGAATGATTCTGTGTAGTTTTTACACGAAGATATTTCCATTTCAAAGATTAGCCTCAAATCGCTTGAAATCTCCACTTGCAAACTCCACAGAAAGAATTTTTCAAAACTGCTCTGTCTAAAGGAAGGTTCAACTCTGTGACTTGAATACACACAACACAAAGAAATGACTGAGAATTCTTCTGTCTAGCATTACATGAAGAAATCCCGTTTCCAACGAAGGCCTCAATGAAGTCCAAAAAAGCACTTGCAGGCTTTACAAACAGAGTGTTTCCAAACTGCTCTATGAAAAGAAAGGTTAAACTCTGTGAGTTGAACGCACACATCACAAAGTAGTTGTTGAGAATGATTCTGTGTAGTTTTTATACGAAGATATTTCCTTTTCTGCCATAGGCCTAGAAGCGCTTGAAATCTGCACTTGCAAATTCCAAAAACAGCGTGTTTCAAATCTGCTCTCTCTAAAGGAAGGTTCAAATCTGTGTGTTGAATACAAACAACACAAAGAAGTTACTGAGAATTCTTCTGTCTAGCGTTATATGAAGAAATCCCGTTTCCAACGAAGGCCTCAAAGAGGTCCAAATATCCACTTGCAGACTTACAAATAGAGTGTTTCCAAACTGCTCTATGAAAAGAAAGGTTAAACTCCGTGAGTTGAAGGCACACATCACAAACTAGTTTCTGCGAATGACTCTGTGTACTTTTAATACGAAGATGTTTCCATGTCTAAGATTGGCGTGAATTCGCTTGAAATCTCCACTTGCAAATTCCACAAAAAGAGTGTTTCAAAACTGCTCTGAATAAAGGAAGGTTCCACTCTGTGAGTTGAATACACACAACACAAAGGATTTACTGAGAATTCTTCTGTCTAGCAGTAAATGAAAAAATCCCGCTTCCAACGAAGTCCTCAAAGGGGTCCAAGTAATCACTTGCAGACTTTACAGACAGAGTCTTTCCAAACTGCTCTATGAAAAGAAAGGTGGAACTCTGTGAGCTGAACGCACACATAACAAAGCAGTTTCTGACAATGATTCTGTGTAGTTTTTACACGAAGATATTTCCATTTCAAAGATTAGCCTCAAATCGCTTGAAATCTCCACTTGCAAATTCCACAGAAAGAGTTTTTCAAAACTGCTCTGTGTAAAGGAAGGTTCAACTCTGTGACTTGAATACACACAACACAAAGAAGTGACTGAGAATTCTTCTGTCTAGCATTATATGAAGAAATCCCGTTTCCAACGAAGGCCTCAAAGAAGTCCAAATAAGCACCTGCAGACTTTACAAACAGAGTGTTTCCAAACTGCTCTATGAAAAGAAAGGTTAAACTCTGTGAGTTGAACGCACACATCACAAAGTAGTTGTTGAGAATGATTCTGTGTAGTTTTTATACGAAGATATTTCCTTTTCTGCCATAGGCCTAGAAGCGCTTGCAATCTGCACTTGCAAATTCCAAAAACAGAGTGTTTCAAATCTGCTCTCTCCAAAGGAAGGTTCAAATCTGTGAGTTGAATACAAACAACACAAAGAAGTTACTGAGAATTCTTCTGTCTAGCATTATAAGAGGAAATCCCGTTTCCAACGAAGGGCTCATAGAGGGACAATTATCCAGCTGCAGACTTACAAAGAGTGTATTTCCAAACTGCTCGATTAAAGAAAGGTTAAACTCTGTGAGTTGAACACACACATCACAAAGTGTTTTCTGAGAATGATTTTGTCTAGTTTTAATACGAAGATATATCCTTTTCTATCACTGTCTTCGAAGCGTTTGAAATCTGCACTAGCAAATTCCACAAACAGAGTGTTTCAACTCTGCTCTCTCTCAAGAAAGGTTCAACTCTGTGAGTGGAATACACACAACACAAAGAAGTTACTGAGAATTCTTCTGTCTAGCGTTATATGAAGAAATCCCGTTTCCAACGAAGGCCTCAAAGAGGTCCAAATATCCACTTGCAGACTTTACAAATAGAGTGTTTCCAAACTGCTCTATGAAAAGAAAGGTTAAACTCCGTGAGTTGAAGGCACACATCACAAACTAGTTTCTGCGAATGACTCTGTGTACTTTTAATACGAAGATGTTTCCATGTCTAAGATTGGCGTAAATTCGCTTGAAATCTCCACTTGCAAATTCCACAAAAAGAGTGTTTCAAAAGTGCTCTGAATAGAGGAAGGTTCCACTCTGTGAGTTGAATACACACAACACAAAGGATTTACTGAGAATTCTTCTGTCTAGCAGTAAATGAAAAAATCCCGCTTCCAACGAAGTCCTCAAAGGGGTCCAAGTAATCACTTGCAGACTTTACAGACAGAGTCTTTCCAAACTGCTCTATGAAAAGAAAGGTGGAACTCTGTGAGCTGAACGCACACATAACAAAGCAGTTTCTGACAATGATTCTGTGTAGTTTTTACACGAAGATATTTCCATTTCAAAGATTAGCCTCAAATCGCTTGAAATCTCCACTTGCAAATTCCACAGAAAGAGTTTTTCAAAACTGCTCTGTGTAAAGGAAGGTTCAACTCTGTGACTTGAATACACACAACACAAAGAAGTGACTGAGAATTCTTCTGTCTAGCATTATATGAGGAAATCCCGTTTCCAACGAAGGGCTCAAAGAGGGCCAATTATCCACCTGCAGACTTACAAAGAGTGTATTTCCAAACTGCTCGATTAAAGAAAGGTTAAACTCTGTGAGTTGAACACACACATCACAAAGAGTTTTCTGAGAATGATTTTGTCTACTTTTAATACGAAGATATATCCTTTTCTATCACTGTCTTCGAAGCGTTGGAAATCTACACTAGCAAATTCCACAAAAAGAGTGTTTCACCTCTGCTCCCTCTAAAGAAAGGTTCAACTCTGTGAGTTGAATACACACAACACAAAGAAGTTACTGAGAATTCTTCTGTCTAGCGTTATATGAAGAAATCCCGTTTCCAACGAAGGCCTCAAAGAGGTCCAAATATCCACTTGCAGACTTTACAAATAGAGTGTTTCCCAACTGCTCTATGAAAAGAAAGGTTAAACTCTGTGAGTTGAAGGCACACATCACAAACTAGTTTCTACGAATGACTCTGTGTACTTTTAATATGAAGATATTTCCATGTCTAAGATTGGCGTCAAATCGCTTGAAATCTCCACTTGCAAATTCCACAAAAAGAGTGTTTCAAAACTGCTCTGAATAAAGGAAGGTTCCACTCTGTGAGTTGAATACACACAACACAAAGGATTTACTGAGAATTCTTCTGTCTAGCAGTAAATGAGAAATCCCGCTTCCAACGAAGGCCTCAAAGGGGTCTAACTAATCACTTGCAGACTTTACAGACAGAGTCTTTCCAAACTGCTCTATGAAGAGAAAGGTGAAACTCTGTGAACTGAACGCACAGATGACAAAGCAGTTTCTGAGAATGATTCTGTGTAGTTTTTACACGAAGATATTTCCATTTCAAAGATTAGCCTCAAATCGCTTGAAATCTCCACTTGCAAATTCCACAGAAAGAATTTTTCAAAACTGCTCTGTCTAAAGGAAGGTTCAACTCTGTGATCTGAATACACACAACACAAAGAAGTGACTGAGAATTCTTCTGTCTAGCATTATATGAAGAAATCCCGTTTCCAACGAAGGCCTCAATGAAGTCCAAAAAAGCACTTGCAGGCTTTACAAACAGAGTGTTTCCAAACTGCTCTATGAAAAGAAAGGTTAAACTCTGTGAGTTGAACGCACACATCACAAAGTAGTTGTTGAGAATGATTTTGTCTAGTTTTAATACGAAGATATATCCTTTTCTATCATTGTCTTCGAAGCGTTTGAAATCTGCACTGGCAAATTCCACAAACAGAGTGTTTCAACTCTGCTCTCTCTCAAGAAAGGTTCAACTCTGTGAGTGGAATACACACAACACAAAGAAGTTACTGAGAATTCTTCTGTCTAGCGTTATATGAAGAAATCCCGTTTCCAACGAAGGCCTCAAAGAGGTCCAAATATCCACTTGCAGACTTTACAAATAGAGTGTTTCCAAACTGCTCTATGAAAAGAAAGTTTAAACTCTGTGAGTTGAAGGCACACATCACAAACTAGTTTCTGCGAATGACTCTGTGTACTTTTAATACGAAGATGTTTCCATGTCTAAGATTGGCGTGAATTCGCTTGAAATCTCCACTTGCAAATTCCACAAAAAGAGTGTTTCAAAACTGCTCTGAATAAAGGAAGGTTCCACTCTGTGAGTTGAATACACACAACACAAAGGATTTACTGAGAATTCTTCTGTCTAGCAGTAAATGAAAAAATCCCGCTTCCAACGAAGTCCTCAAAGGGGTCCAAGTAATCACTTGCAGACTTTACAGACAGAGTCTTTCCAAACTGCTCTATGAAAAGAAAGGTGGAACTCTGTGAGCTGAACGCACACATAACAAAGCAGTTTCTGAGAATGATTCTGTGTAGTTTTTACACGAAGATATTTCCATTTCAAAGATTAGCCTCAAATCGCTTGACATCTCCACTTGCAAATTCCACAGAAAGAGTTTTTCAAAACTGCTCTGTGTAAAGGAAGGTTCAACTCTGTGACTTGAATACACACAACACAAAGAAGTGACTGAGAATTCTTCTGTCTATCATTATATGAAGAAATCCCGTTTCCAACGAAGGCCTCAAAGAAGTCCAAATAAGCACCTGCAGACTTTACAAACAGAGTGTTTCGAAACTGCTCTATGAAAAGAAAGGTTAAACTCCGTGAGTTGAACGCACACATCACAAACTAGTTTCTGCGAATGACTCTGTGTACTTTTAATACGAAGATGTTTCCATGTCTAAGATTGGCGTGAATTCGCTTGAAATCTCCACTTGCAAATTCCACAAAAAGAGTGTTTCAAAACTGCTCTGAATAAAGGAAGGTTCCACTCTGTGAGTTGAATACACACAACACAAAGGATTTACTGAGAATTCTTCTGTCTAGCAGTAAATGAAAAAATCCCGCTTCCAACGAAGTCCTCAAAGGGGTCCAAGTAATCACTTGCAGACTTTACAGACAGAGTCTTTCCAAACTGCTCTATGAAAAGAAAGGTGGAACTCTGTGAGCTGAACGCACACATAACAAAGCAGTTTCTGAGAAAGATTCTGTGTAGTTTTTACACGAAGATATTTCCATTTCAAAGATTAGCCTCAAATCGCTTGAAATCTCCACTTGCAAACTCCACAGAAAGAATTTTTCAAAACTGCTCTGTCTAAAGGAAGGTTCAACTCTGTGACTTGAATACACACAACACAAAGAAGTGACTGAGAATTCTTCTGTCTAGCATTATATGAAGAAATCCCGTTTCCAACGAAGGCCTCAAAGAAGTCCAAATAAGCACCTGCAGACTTTACAAACAGAGTGTTTCCAAACTGCTCTATGAAAAGAAAGGTTAAACTCTGTGAGTTGAACGCACACATCACAAAGTAGTTGTTGAGAATGATTTTGTCTACTTTTAATACGAAGATATATCCTTTTCTATCACTGTCTTCGAAGCGTTTGAAATCTGCACTAGCAAATTCCACAAACAGAGTGTTTCAACTCTGCTCTCTCTCAAGAAAGGTTCAACTCTGTGAGTGGAATACACACAACACAAAGAAGTTACTGAGAATTCTTCTGTCTAGCGTTATATGAAGAAATCCCGTTTCCAACGAAGGCCTCAAAGAGGTCCAAATATCCACTTGCAGACTTTACAAATAGAGTGTTTCCAAACTGCTCTATGAAAAGAAAGGTTAAACTCTGTGAGTTGAAGGCACACATCACAAACTAGTTTCTGCGAATGACTCTGTGTACTTTTAATACGAAGATGTTTCCATGTCTACGATTGGCGTGAATTCGCTTGAAATCTCCACTTGCAAATTCCACAAAAAGAGTGTTTCAAAACTGCTCTGAATAAAGGAAGGTTCCACTCTGTGAGTTGAATACACACAACACAAAGGATTTACTGAGAATTCTTCTGTCTAGCAGTAAATGAAAAAATCCCGCTTCCAACGAAGTCCTCAAAGGGGTCCAAGTAATCACTTGCAGACTTTACAGACAGAGTCTTTCCAAACTGCTCTATGAAAAGAAAGGTGGAACTCTGTGAGCTGAACGCACACATAACAAAGCAGTTTCTGAGAATGATTCTGTGTAGTTTTTACACGAAGATATTTCCATTTCAAAGATTAGCCTCAAATCGCTTGAAATCTCCACTTGCAAATTCCACAGAAAGAGTTTTTCAAAACTGCTCTGTGTAAAGGAAGGTTCAACTCTGTGACTTGAATACACACAACACAAAGAAGTGACTGAGAATTCTTCTGTCTAGCATTATATGAGGAAATCCCGTTTCCAACGAAGGGCTCATAGAGGGACAATTATCCAGCTGCAGACTTACAAAGAGTGTATTTCCAAACTGCTCGATTAAAGAAAGGTTAAACTCTGTGAGTTGAACACACACATCACAAAGTGTTTTCTGAGAATGATTTTGTCTAGTTTTAATACGAAGATATATCCTTTTCTATCACTGTCTTCGAAGCGTTTGAAATCTGCACTAGCAAATTCCACAAACAGAGTGTTTCAACTCTGCTCTCTCTCAAGAAAGGTTCAACTCTGTGAGTGGAATACACACAACACAAAGAAGTTACTGAGAATTCTTCTGTCTAGCGTTATATGAAGAAATCCCGTTTCCAACGAAGGCCTCAAAGAGTTCCAAATATCCACTTGCAGACTTTACAAATAGAGTGTTTCCAAACTGCTCTATGAAAAGAAAGCTTAAACTCTGTGAGTTGAAGGCACACATCACAAACTAGTTTGCTGCGAATGACTTCTGTGTACTTTTAATACCAAAGATGTTTCCATGTCTAAGATTGGCGTGAATTCGCTTGAAATCTCCACTTGCAAATTCCACAAAAAGAGTGTTTCAAAACTGCTCTGAATAAAGGAAGGTTCCACTCTGTGAGTTGAATACACACAACACAAAGGATTTACTGAGAATTCTTCTGTCTAGCAGTAAATGAAAAAATCCCGCTTCCAACGAAGTCCTCAAAGGGGTCCAAGTAATCACTTGCAGACTTTACAGACAGAGACTTTCCAAACTGCTCTATGAAAAGAAAGGTGGAACTCTGTGAGCTGAACGCACACATAACAAAGCAGTTTCTGAGAATGATTCTGTGTAGTTTTTACACGAAGATATTTCCATTTCAAAGATTAGCCTCAAATCGCTTGAAATCTCCACTTGCAAATTCCACAGAAAGAGTTTTTCAAAACTGCTCTGTGTAAAGGAAGGTTCAACTCTGTGACTTGAATACACACAACACAAAGAAGTGACTGAGAATTCTTCTGTCTAGCATTATATGAAGAAATCCCGTTTCCAATGAAGGCCTCAAAGAAGTCCAAATAAGCACCTGCAGACTTTACAAACAGAGTGTTTCCAAACTGCTCTATGAAAAGAAAGGTTAAACTCTGTGAGTTGAACGCACACATCACAAAGTAGTTGTTGAGAATGATTCTGTGTAGTTTTTATACGAAGATATTTCCTTTTCTGCCATAGGCCTAGAAGCGCTTGAAATCTGCACTTGCAAATTCCAAAAACAGAGTGTTTCAAATCTGCTCTCTCTAAAGGAAGGTTCAAATCTGTGTGTTGAATACAAACAACACAAAGAAGTTACTGAGAATTCTTCTGTCTAGCATTATATGAGGAAATCCCGTTTCCAACGAAGGGCTCAAAGAGGGCCAAATATCCACCTGCAGACTTACAAAGAGTGTATTTCCAAACTGCTCGATTAAAGAAAGGTTAAACTCTGTGAGTTGAACACACACATCACAAAGAGTTTTCTGAGAATGATTTTGTCTACTTTTAATACGAAGATATATCCTTTTCTATCACTGTCTTCGAAGCGTTTGAAATCTACACTAGCAAATTCCACAAAAAGAGTGTTTCACCTCTGCTCCCTCTAAAGAAAGGTTCAACTCTGTGAGTTGAATACACACAACACAAAGAAGTTACTGAGAATTCTTCTGTCTAGCGTTATATGAAGAAATCCCGTTTCCAACGAAGGCCTCAAAGAGGTCCAAATATCCACTTGCAGACTTTACAAATAGAGTGTTTCCCAACTGCTCTATGAAAAGAAAGGTTAAACTCTGTGAGTTGAAGGCACACATCACAAACTAGTTTCTACGAATGACTCTGTGTACTTTTAATATGAAGATATTTCCATGTCTAAGATTGGCGTCAAATCGCTTGAAATCTCCACTTGCAAATTCCACAAAAAGTGTTTTTCAAAACTGCTCTGAATAAAGGAAGGTTCCACTCTGTGAGTTGAATACACACAACACAAAGGATTTACTGAGAATTCTTCTGTCTAGCAGTAAATGAGAAATCCCGCTTCCAACGAAGGCCTCAAAGGGGTCTAACTAATCACTTGCAGACTTTACAGACAGAGTCTTTCCAAACTGCTCTATGAAGAGAAAGGTGAAACTCTGTGAACTGAACGCACAGATGACAAAGCAGTTTCTGAGAATGATTCTGTGTAGTTTTTACACGAAGATATTTCCATTTCAAAGATTAACCTCAAATCGCTTGAAATCTCCACTTGCAAATTCCACAGAAAGAGTTTTTCAAAACTGCTCTGTGTAAAGGAAGGTTCAACTCTGTGACTTGAATACACACAACACAAAGAAGTGACTGAGAATTCTTCTGTCTAGCATTATATGAAGAAATCCCGTTTCCAACGAAGGCCTCAAAGAAGTCCAAATAAGCACCTGCAGACTTTACAAACAGAGTGTTTCCAAACTGCTCTATGAAAAGAAAGGTTAAACTCTGTGAGTTGAACGCACACATCACAAAGTAGTTGTTGAGAATGATTCTGTGTAGTTTTTACTCGAAGATATTTCCTTTTCTGCCATAGGCCTAGAAGCGCTTGTAATCTGCACTTGCAAATTCCAAAACCAGAGTGTTTCAAATCTGCTCTCTCTAAAGGAAGGTTCAAATCTGTGAGTTGAATACAAACAACACAAAGAAGTAACTGAGAATTCTTCTGTCTAGCATTATATGAGGAAATCCCGTTTCCAACGAAGGGCTCATAGAGGGACAATTATCCAGCTGCAGACTTACAAAGAGTGTATTTCCAAACTGCTCGATTAAAGAAAGGTTAAACTCTGTGAGTTGAACACACACATCACAAAGTGTTTTCTGAGAATGATTTTGTCTAGTTTTAATACGAAGATATATCCTTTTCTATCACAGTCTTCGAAGCGTTTGAAATCTGCACTAGCAAATTCCACAAACAGAGTGTTTCAACTCTGCTCTCTCTCAAGAAAGGTTCAACTCTGTGAGTGGAATACACACAACACAAAGAAGTTACTGAGAATTCTTCTGTCTAGCGTTATATGAAGAAATCCCGTTTCCAACGAAGGCCTCAAAGAGGTCCAAATATCCACTTGCAGACTTTACAAATAGAGTGTTTCCAAACTGCTCTATGAAAAGAAAGGTTAAACTCTGTGAGTTGAAGGCACACATCACAAACTAGTTTCTGCGAATGACTCTGTGTACTTTTATTACGAAGATGTTTCCATGTCTAAGATTGGCGTGAATTCGCTTGAAATCTCCACTTGCAAATTCCACAAAAAGAGTGTTTCAAAACTGCTCTGAATAAAGGAAGGTTCCACTCTGTGAGTTGAATACAAACAACACAAAGGATTTACTGAGAATTCTTCTGTCTAGCAGTAAATGAAAAAATCCCGCTTCCAACGAAGTCCTCAAAGGGGTCCAAGTAATCACTTGCAGACTTTACAGACAGAGTCTTTCCAAACTGCTCTATGAAAAGAAAGGTGGAACTCTGTGAGCTGAACGCACACATAACAAAGCAGTTTCTGAGAATGATTCTGTGTAGTTTTTACACGAAGCTATTTCCATTTCAAAGATTAGCCTCAAATCGCTTGAAATCTCCAGTTGCAAATTCCACAGAAAGAGTTTTTCAAAACTGCTCTGTGTAAAGGAAGGTTCAACTCTGTGACTTGAATACACACAACACAAAGAAGTGACTGAGAATTCTTCTGTCTAGCATTATAAGAGGAAATCCCGTTTCCAAGGAAGGGCTCATAGAGGGACAATTATCCAGCTGCAGACTTACAAAGAGTGTATTTCCAAACTGCTCGATTAAAGAAAGGTTAAACTCTGTGAGTTGAACACACACATCACAAAGTGTTTTCTGAGAATGATTTTGTCTAGTTTTAATACGAAGATATATCCTTTTCTATCACTGTCTTCGAAGCGTTTGAAATCTGCACTAGCAAATTCCACAAACAGAGTGTTTCCACTCTGCTCTCTCTCAAGAAAGGTTCAACTCTGTGAGTGGAATACACACAACACAAAGAAGTTACTGAGAATTCTTCTGTCTAGCGTTATATGAAGAAATCCCGTTTCCAACGAAGGCCTCAAAGAGGTCCAAATATCCACTTGCAGACTTTACAAATAGAGTGTTTCCAAACTGCTCTATGAAAAGAAAGGTTAAACTCCGTGAGTTGAAGGCACACATCACAAACTAGTTTCTGCGAATGACTCTGTGTACTTTTAATACGAAGATGTTTCCATGTCTAAGATTGGCGTGAATTCCCTTGAAATCTCCACTTGCAAATTCCACCAAAAGAGTGTTTCAAAACTGCTCTGAATAAAGGAAGGTTCCACTCTGTGAGTTGAATACACACAACACAAAGGATTTACTGAGAATTCTTCTGTCTAGCAGTAAATGAAAAAATCCCGCTTCCAACGAAGTCCTCAAAGGGGTCCAAGTAATCATTTGCAGACTTTACAGACGGAGTCTTTCCAAACTGCTCTATGAAAAGAAAGGTGGAACTCTGTGAGCTGAACGCACACATAACAAAGCAGTTTCTGAGAATGATTCTGTGTAGTTTTTGCACGAAGATATTTCCATTTCAAAGATTAGCCTCAAATCGCTTGAAATCTCCACTTGCAAATTCCACAGAAAGAGTTTCTCAAAACTGCTCTGTGTAAAGGAAGGTTCAACTCTGTGACTTGAATACACACAACACAAAGAAGTGACTGAGAATTCTTCTGTCTAGCATTATATGAAGAAATCCCGTTTCCAACGAAGGCCTCAAAGAAGTCCAAATAAGCACCTGCAGACTTAACAAACAGAGTGTTTCCAAACTGCTCTATGAAAAGAAAGGTTAAACTCTGTGAGTTGAACGCACACATCACAAAGTAGTTGTTGAGAATGATTTCTGTGTAGTTTTTATACGAAGATATTTCCTTTTCTGCCATAGGCCTAGAAGCGCTTGTAATCTGCACTTGCAAATTCCAAAAACAGAGTGTTTCAAATCTGCTCTCTCTAAAGGAAGGTTCAAATCTGTGAGTTGAATACAAACAACACAAAGAAGTTACTGAGAATTCTTCTGTCTAGCATTATATGAGGAAATCCCGTTTCCAACGAAGGGCTCAAAGAGGGCCAAATATCCACCTGCAGACTTACAAAGAGTGTATTTCCAAACTGCTCGATTAAAGAAAGGTTAAACTCTGTGAGTTGAACACACACATCACAAAGAGTTTTTCTGAGAATGATTCTGTGTACTTTTAATATGAAGATATTTCCATGTCTAAGATTGACGTCAAATCGCTTGAAATCTCCACTTGCAAATTCCACAAAAAGTGTTTTTCAAAACTGCTCTGAATAAAGGAAGGTTCCACTTCTGTGAGTTGAATACACACAACACAAAGGATTTACTGAGAATTCTTCTGTCTAGCAATAAATGAGAAATCCCGCTTCCAACGAAGGCCTCAAAGGGGTCTAACTAATCACTTGCAGACTTTACAGACAGAGTCTTTCCAAACTGCTCTATGAAGAGAAAGGTGAAACTCTGTGAACTGAACGCACAGATAACAAAGCAGTTTCTGAGAATGATTCTGTGTAGTTTTTACACGAAGATATTTCCATTTCAAAGATTAGCCTCAAGTCGCTTGAAATCTCCACTTGCAAATTCCACAGAAAGAATTTTTCAAAACTGCTCTGTCTAAAAGAAGGTTCAACTCTGTGACTTGAATACACACAACACAAAGAAGTGACTGAGAATTCTTCTGTCTAGCATTATATGAAGAAATCCCGTTTCCAACGAAGGCCTCAATGAAGTCCAAAAAAGCACTTGCAGGCTTTACAAACAGAGTGTTTCCAAACTGCTCTATGAAAAGAAAGGTTAAACTCTGTGAGTTGAACGCACACATCACAAAGTAGTTGTTGAGAATGATTTTGTCTACTTTTAATACGAAGATATATCCTTTTCTATCACTGTCTTCGAAGCGTTTGAAATCTACACTAGCAAATTCCACAAAAAGAGTGTTTCACCTCTGCTCCCTCTAAAGAAAGGTTCAACTCTGTGAGTTGAATACACATAACACAAAGAAGTTACTGAGAATTCTTCTGTCTAGCGTTACATGAAGAAATCCCGTTTCCAACGAAGGCCTCAAAGACGTCCAAATATCCACTTGCAGACTTTACAAATAGAGTGTTTCCAAAATGCTCTATGAAAAGAAAGGTTAAACTCTGTGAGTTGAAGGCACACAACACAAACTAGTTTCTGCGAATGACTCTGTGTACTTTTAATATGAAGATATTTCCATGTCTAAGATTGGCATCAAATCGCTTGAAATCTCCATTTGCAAATTCCACAAAAAGAGTCTTTCAAAACTGCTCTGAATAAAGGAAGGTTCCACTCTGTGAGTTGAATACACACAACACAAAGGATTTACTGAGAATTCTTCTGTCTAGCATTATATGAAGAAATCCCGTTTCCAAAGAAGGCCTCAATGAAGTCCAAAAAAGCACTTGCAGGCTTTACAAACAGAGTGTTTCCAAACTTCTCTATGAAAAGAAAGGTTAAACTTTGTGAGTTGAACGCACACATCACAAAGTAGTTGTTGAGAATGATTCTGTGTAGTTTTTACACGAAGCTATTTCCATTTCAAAGATTAGCCTCAAATCGCTTGAAATCTCCACTTGCAAATTCCACAGAAAGAGTTTTTCAAAACTGCTCTGTGTAAAGGATGGTTCAACTCTGTGACTTGAATACACACAACACAAAGAAGTGACTGAGAATTCTTCTGTCTAGCATTATATGAGGAAATCCCGTTTCCAACGAAGGGCTCATAGAGGGACAATTATCCAGCTGCAGACTTACAAAGAGTGTATTTCCAAACTGCTCGATTAAAGAAAGGTTAAACTCTGTGAGTTGAACACACACATCACAAAGTGTTTTCTGAGAATGATTTTGTCTAGTTTTAATACGAAGATATATCCTTTTCTATCACTGTCTTCGAAGCGTTTGAAATCTGCACTAGCAAATTCCACAAACAGAGTGTTTCAACTCTGCTCTCTCTCAAGAAAGTTTCAACTCTGTGAGTGGAATACACACAACACAAAGAAGTTACTGAGAATTCTTCTGTCTAGCGTTATATGAAGAAATCCCGTTTCCAACGAAGGCCTCAAAGAGGTCCAAATATCCACTTGCAGACTTTACAAATAGAGTGTTTCCAAAATGCTCTATGAAAAGAAAGGTTAAACTCTGTGAGTTGAAGGCACACATCACAAACTAGTTTCTGCGAATGACTCTGTGTACTTTTAATACGAAGATGTTTCCATGTCTAAGATTGGCGTGAATTCGCTTGAAATCTCCACTTGCAAATTCCACAAAAAGAGTGTTTCAAAACTGCTCTGAATAAAGGAAGGTTCCACTCTGTGAGTTGAATACACACAACACAAAGGATTTACTGAGAATTCTTCTTTCTGGCAGTAAATGAAAAAATCCCGCTTCCAACGAAGTCCTCAAAGGGGTCCAAGTAATCACTTGCAGACTTTACAGACAGAGTCTTTCCAAACTGCTCTATGAAAAGAAAGGTGGAACTCTGTGAGCTGAACGCACACATAACAAAGCAGTTTCTGAGAATGATTCTGTGTAGTTTTTACACGGAGGTATTTCCATTTCAAAGATTAGCCTCAAATCGCTTGACATCTCCACTTGCAAATTCCACAGAAAGAGTTTTTCAAAACTGCTCTGTGTAAAGGAAGTTTCAACTCTGTGACTTGAATACACACAACACAAAGAAGTGACTGAGAATTCTTCTGTCTAGCGTTGTATGAAGAAATCCCGTTTCCAAAGAAGGCCTCAATGAAGTCCAAAAAAGCACTTGCAGGCTTTACAAACAGAGTGTTTCCAAACTGCTCTATGAAAAGAAAGGTTAAACTCTGTGAGTTGAACGCACACATCACAAAGTAGTTGTTGAGAATGATTCTGTGTAGTTTTTATACGAAGATATTTCCTTTTCTGCCATAGGCCTAGAAGTGCTTGAAATCTGCACTTGCAAATTCCAAAAACAGAATGTTTCAAATCTGCTCTCTCTAAAGGAAGGTTCAAATCTGTGAGTTGAATACAAACAACACAGAGAAGTTACTGAGAATTCTTCTGTCTAGCATTATAAGAGGAAATCCCGTTTCCAAAGAAGGGCTCAAAGAGGGCCAAATATCCACCTGCAGACTTACAAAGAGTGTATTTCCAAACTGCTCGATTAAAGAAAGGTTAAACTCTGTGAGTTGAACACACACATCACAAAGAGTTTTCTGAGAATGATTTTGTCTACTTTTAATACGAAGATATCTCCTTTTCTATCACTGACTTCGAAGCGTTTGAAATCTACACTGGCAAATTCCACAAAAAGACTGTTTCACCTCTGCTCCCTCTAAAGAAAGGTTCAACTCTGTGAGTTGAATACACACAACACAAAGAAGTTACTGAGAATTCTTCTGTCTAGCGTTATATGAAGAAATCCCGTTTCCAACGAAGGCCTCAAAGAGGTCCAAATATCCACTTGCAGACTTTACAAATAGAGTGTTTCCCAACTGCTCTATGAAAAGAAAGGTTAAACTCTGTGAGTTGAAGGCACACATCACAAACTAGTTTCTACGAATGACTCTGTGTACTTTTAATATGAAGATATTTCCATGTCTAAGATTGGCGTCAAATCGCTTGAAATCTCCACTTGCAAATTCCACAAAAAGAGTGTTTCAAAACTGCTCTGAATAAAGGAAGGTTCCACTCTGTGAGATGAATACACACAACACAAAGGATTTACTGAGAATTCTTCTGTCTAGCAGTAAATGAGAAATCCCTCTTCCAACGAAGGCCTCAAAGGGGTCTAACTAATCACTTGCAGACTTTACAGACAGAGTCTTTCCAAACTGCTCTATGAAGAGAAAGGTGAAACTCTGTGAACTGAACGCACAGATGACAAAGCAGTTTCTGAGAATGATTCTGTGTAGTTTTTACACGAAGATATTTCCATTTCAAAGATTAGCCTCAAATCGCTTGAAATCTCCACTTGCAAACTCCACAGAAAGAATTTTTCAAAACTGCTCTGTCTAAAGGAAGGTTCAACTCTGTGACTTGAATACACACAACACAAAGAAGTGACTGAGAATTCTTCTGTCTAGCATTATATGAGGAAATCCCGTTTCCAACGAAGGGCTCATAGAGGGACAATTATCCACCTGCAGACTTACAAAGAGTGTATTTCCAAACTGCTCGATTAAAGAAAGGTTAAACTCTGTGAGTTGAACACACACATCACAAAGTGTTTTCTGAGAATGATTTTGTCTAGTTTTAATACGAAGATATATCCTTTTCTATCACTGTCTTCGAAGCGTTTGAAATCTGCACTAGCAAATTCCACAAAAAGAGTGTTTCCACTCTGCTCTCTCTCAAGAAAGGTTCAACTCTGTGAGTTGAATACACACAACACAAAGAAGTTACTGAGAATTCTTCTGTCTAGCGTTATATGAAGAAATCCCGTTTCCAACGAAGGCCTCAAAGAGGTCCAAATATCCACTTGCAGACTTTACAAATAGAGTGTTTCCCAACTGCTCTATGAAAAGAAAGGTTAAACTCTGTGAGTTGAAGGCACACATCACAAACTAGTTTCTACGAATGACTCTGTGTACTTTTAATATGAAGATATTTCCATGTCTAAGATTGGCGTCAAATCGCTTGAAATCTCCACTTGCAAATTCCACAAAAAGAGTGTTTGAAAACTGCTCTGAATAAAGGAAGGTTCCACTCTGTGAGTTGAATACACACAACACAAAGGATTTACTGAGAATTCTTCTGTCTAGCAGTAAATGAGAAATCCCGCTTCCAACGAAGGCCTCAAAGGGGTCTAACTAATCACTTGCAGACTTTACAGACAGAGTCTTTCCAAACTGCTGTATGAAGAGAAAGGTGAAACTCTGTGAACTGAACGCACAGATGACAAAGCAGTTTCTGAGAATGATTCTGTGTAGTTTTTACACGAAGATATTTCCATTTCAAAGATTAGCCTCAAATCGCTTGAAATCTCCACTTGCAAACTCCACAGAAAGAATTTTTCAAAACTGCTCTGTCTAAAGGAAGGTTCAACTCTGTGACTTGAATACACACAACACAAAGAAGTGACTGAGAATTCTTCTGTCTAGCATTATATGAGGAAATCCCGTTTCCAACGAAGGGCTCATAGAGGGACAATTATCCAGCTGCAGACTTACAAAGAGTGTATTTCCAAACTGCTCGATTAAAGAAAGGTTAAACTCTGTGAGTTGAACACACACATCACAAAGTGTTTTCTGAGAATGATTTTGTCTAGTTTTAATACGAAGATATATCCTTTTCTATCACTGTCTTCGAAGCGTTTGAAATCTGCACTAGCAAATTCCACAAACAGAGTGTTTCAACTCTGCTCTCTCTCAAGAAAGGTTCAACTCTGTGAGTGGAATACACACAACACAAAGAAGTTACTGAGAATTCTTCTGTCTAGCGTTACATGAAGAAATCCCGTTTCCAACGAAGGCCTCAAAGACGTCCAAATATCCACTTGCAGACTTTACAAATAGAGTGTTTCCAAAATGCTCTATGAAAAGAAAGGTTAAACTCTGTGAGTTGAAGGCACACAACACAAACTAGTTTCTGCGAATGACTCTGTGTACTTTTAATACGAAGATGTTTCCATGTCTAAGATTTTCGTGAATTCGCTTGAAATCTCCACTTGCAAATTCCACAAAAAGAGTGTTTCAAAACTGCTCTGAATAAAGGAAGGTTCCACTCTGTGAGTTGAATACACACAACACAAAGGATTTACTGAGAATTCTTCTGTCTAGCAGTAAATGAAAAAATCCCGCTTCCAACGAAGTCCTCAAAGGGGTCCAAGTAATCATTTGCAGACTTTACAGACAGAGTCTTTCCAAACTGCTCTATGAAAAGAAAGGTGGAACTCTGTGAGCTGAACGCACACATAACAAAGCAGTTTCTGAGAATGATTTCTGTGTAGTTTTTGCACGAAGATATTTCCATTTCAAAGATTAGCCTCAAATCGCTTGAAATCTCCACTTGCAAATTCCACAGAAAGAGTTTTTCAAAACTGCTCTGTGTAAAGGAAGGTTCAACTCTGTGACTTGAATACACACAACACAAAGAAGTGACTGAGAATTCTTCTGTCTAGCATTATATGAAGAAATCCCGTTTCCAACGAAGGCCTCAAAGAAGTCCAAATAAGCACCTGCAGACTTTACAAACAGAGTGTTTCCAAACTGCTCTATGAAAAGAAAGGTTAAACTCTGTGAGTTGAACGCACACATCACAAACTAGTTTCTGCGAATGACTCTGTGTACTTTTAATACGAAGATGTTTCCATGTCTAAGATTGGCGTGAATTCGCTTGAAATCTCCACTTGCAAATTCCACAAAAAGAGTGTTTCAAAACTGCTCTGAATAAAGGAAGGTTCCACTCTGTGAGTTGAATACACACAACACAAAGGATTTACTGAGAATTCTTCTGTCTAGCAGTAAATGAAAAAATCCCGCTTCCAACGAAGTCCTCAAAGGGGTCCAAGTAATCACTTGCAGACTTTACAGACAGAGTCTTTCCAAACTGCTCTATGAAAACAAAGGTGGAACTCTGTGAGCTGAACGCACACATAACAAAGCAGTTTCTGAGAATGATTCTGTGTAGTTTTTACACGAAGATATTTCCATTTCAAAGATTAGCCTCAAATCGCTTGAAATCTCCACTTGCAAACTCCACAGAAAGAATTTTTCAAAACTGCTCTGTCTAAAGGAAGGTTCAACTCTGTGACTTGAATACACACAACACAAAGAAGTGACTGAGAATTCTTCTGTCTAGCATTACATGAAGAAATCCCGTTTCCAACGAAGGCCTCAAAGAAGTCCAAATAAGCACCTGCAGACTTTACAAACAGAGTGTTTCCAAACTGCTCTATGAAAAGAAAGGTTAAACTCTGTGAGTTGAACGCACACATCACAAAGTAGTTGTTGAGAATGATTCTGTGTAGTTTTTATACGAAGATATTTAATTTTCTGCCATAGGCCTAGAAGCGCTTGAAATCTGCACTTGCAAATTCCAAAAACAGAGTGTTTCAAATCTGCTCTCTCCAAAGGAAGGTTCAAATCTGTGAGTTGAATACAAACAACACAAAGAAGTTACTGAGAATTCTTCTGTCTAGCATTATAAGAGGAAATCCCGTTTCCAACGAAGGGCTCATAGAGGGACAATTATCCAGCTGCAGACTTACAAAGAGTGTATTTCCAAACTGCTCGATTAAAGAAAGGTTAAACTCTGTGAGTTGAACACACACATCACAAAGTGTTTTCTGAGAATGATTTTGTCTAGTTTTAATACGAAGATATATCCTTTTCTATCACTGTCTTCGAAGCGTTTGAAATCTGCACTAGCAAATTCCACAAACAGAGTGTTTCAACTCTGCTCTCTCTCAAGAAAGGTTCAACTCTGTGAGTGGAATACACACAACACAAAGAAGTTACTGAGAATTCTTCTGTCTAGCGTTATATGAAGAAATCCCGTTTCCAACGAAGGCCTCAAAGACGTCCAAATATCCACTTGCAGACTTTACAAATAGAGTGTTTCCAAACTGCTCTATGAAAAGAAAGGTTAAACTCTGTGAGTTGAAGGCACACATCACAAACTAGTTTCTGCGAATGACTCTGTGTACTTTTAATACGAAGATGTTTCCATGTCTAAGATTGGCGTGAATTCGCTTGAAATCTCCACTTGCAAATTCCACAAAAAGAGTGTTTCAAAACTGCTCTGAATAAAGGAAGGTTCCACTCTGTGAGTTGAATACACACAACACAAAGGATTTACTGAGAATTCTTCTGTCTAGCAGTAAATGAAAAAATCCCGCTTCCAACGAAGTCCTCAAAGGGGTCCAAGTATTCACTTGCAGACTTTACAGACAGAGTCTTTCCAAACTGCTCTATGAAAAGAAAGGTGGAACTCTGTGAGCTGAACGCACACATAACAAAGCAGTTTCTGAGAATGATTCTGTGTAGTTTTTACACGAAGATATTTCCATTTCAAAGATTAGCCTCAAATCGCTTGAAATCTCCACTTGCAAATTCCACAGAAAGAGTTTTTCAAAACTGCTCTGTGTAAAGGAAGGTTCAACTCTGTGACTTGAATACACACAACACAAAGAAGTGACTGAGAATTCTTCTGTCTAGCATTATATGAGGAAATCCCGTTTCCAACGAAGGGCTCATAGAGGGACAATTATCCAGCTGCAGACTTACAAAGAGTGTATTTCCAAACTGCTCGATTAAAGAAAGGTTAAACTCTGTGAGTTGAACACACACATCACAAAGTGTTTTCTGAGAATGATTTTGTCTAGTTTTAATACGAAGATATATCCTTTTCTATCACTGTCTTCGAAGCGTTTGAAATCTGCACTAGCAAATTCCACAAACAGAGTGTTTCAACTCTGCTCTCTCTCAAGAAAGGTTCAACTCTGTGAGTGGAATACACACAACACAAAGAAGTTACTGAGAATTCTTCTGTCTAGCGTTATATGAAGAAATCCCGTTTCCAACGAAGGCCTCAAAGAGGTCCAAATATCCACTTGCAGACTTTACAAATAGAGTGTTTCCAAACTGCTCTATGAAAAGAAAGGTTAAACTCTGTGAGTTGAAGGCACACATCACAAACTAGTTTCTGCGAATGACTCTGTGTACTTTTAATACGAAGATGTTTCCATGTCTAAGATTGGCGTGAATTCGCTTGAAATCTCCACATGCAAATTCCACAAAAAGAGTGTTTCAAAACTGCTCTGAATAAAGGAAGGTTCCACTCTGTGAGTTGAATACACACAACACAAAGGATTTACTGAGAATTCTTCTGTCTAGCAGTAAATGAAAAAATCCCGCTTCCAGCGAAGTCCTCAAAGGGGTCCAAGTAATCACTTGCAGACTTTACAGACAGAGTCTTTCCAAACTGCTCTATGAAAAGAAAGGTGGAACTCTGTGAGCTGAACGCACACATAAGAAAGCAGTTTCTGAGAATGATTCTGTGTAGTTTTTACACGAAGATATTTCCATTTCAAAGATTAGCCTCAAATCGCTTGAAATCTCCACTTGCAAATTCCACAGAAAGAGTTTTTCAAAACTGCTCTGTGTAAAGGAAGGTTCAACTCTGTGACTTGAATACACACAACACAAAGAAGTGACTGAGAATTCTTCTGTCTAGCATTATAAGAGGAAATCCCGTTTCCAACGAAGGGCTCATAGAGGGACAATTATCCAGCTGCAGACTTACAAAGAGTGTATTTCCAAACTGCTCGATTAAAGAAAGGTTAAACTCTGTGAGTTGAACACACACATCACAAAGTGTTTTCTGAGAATGATTCTGTGTAGTTTTTATACGAAGATATTTCCTTTTCTGCCATAGGCCTAGAAGCGCTTGCAATCTGCACTTGCAAATTCCAAAAACAGAGTGTTTCAAATCTGCTCTCTCTAAAGGAAGGTTCAAATGCTGTGAGTTGAATACAAACAACACAAAGAAGTTACTGAGAATTCTTCTGTCTAGCGTTATATGAAGAAATCCCGTTTCCAACGAAGGCCTCAAAGAGGTCCAAATATCCACTTGCAGACTTTACAAATAGAGTGTTTCCAAACTGCTCTATGAAAAGAAAGCTTAAACTCTGTGAGTTGAAGGCACACATCACAAACTAGTTTCTGCGAATGACTCTGTGTACTTTTAATACGAAGATGTTTCCATGTCTAAGATTTGCGTGAATTCGCTTGAAATCTCCACTTGCAAATTCCACAAAAAGAGTGTTTCAAAACTGCTCTGAATAAAGGAAGGTTCCACTCTGTGAGTTGAATACACACAACACGAAGGATTTACTGAGAATTCTTCTTTCTAGCAGTAAATGAGAAATCCCGCTTCCAACGAAGGCCTCAAAGGGGTCTAACTAATCACTTGCAGACTTTAGAGACAGAGTCTTTCCAAACTGCTCTATGAAGAGAAAGGTGAAACTCTGTGAACTGAACGCACAGATGACAAAGCAGTTTCTGAGAATGATTCTGTATAGTTTTTACACGAAGATATTTCCATTTCAAAGATTAGCCTCAAATCGCTTGAAATCTCCACTTGCAAACTCCACAGAAAGAATTTTTCAAAACTACTCTGTCTAAAGGAAGGTTCAACTCTGTGACTTGAATACACACAACACAAAGAAGTGACTGAGAATTCTTCTGTCTAGCATTATATGAGGAAATCCCGTTTCCAACGAAGGGCTCATAGAGGGACAATTATCCAGCTGCAGACTTACAAAGAGTGTATTTCCAAACTGCTCGATTAAAGAAAGGTTAAACTCTGTGAGTTGAACACACACATCACAAAGTGTTTTCTGAGAATGATTTTGTCTAGTTTTAATACGAAGATATATCCTTTTCTATCACTGTCTTCGAAGCGTTTGAAATCTGCACTAGCAAATTCCACAAACAGAGTGTTTCAACTCTGCTCTCTCTCAAGAAAGGTTCAACTCTGTGAGTGGAATACACACAACACAAAGAAGTTACTGAGAATTCTTCTGTCTAGCGTTATATGAAGAAATCCCGTTTCCAACGAAGGCCTCAAAGAGGTCCAAATATCCACTTGCAGACTTTACAAATAGAGTGTTTCCAAACTGCTCTATGAAAAGAAAGGTTAAACTCCGTGAGTTGAAGGCACACATCACAAACTAGTTTCTGCGAATGACTCTGTGTACTTTTAATACGAAGATGTTTCCATGTCTAAGATTGGCATGAATTCGCTTGAAATCTCCACTTGCAAATTCCACAAAAAGAGTGTTTCAAAACTGCTCTGAATAAAGGAAGGTTGAATACACACAACACAAAGGATTTACTGAGAATTCTTCTGTCTAGCAGTAAATGAAAAAATCCCGCTTCCAACGAAGTCCTCAAAGGGGTCCAAGTAATCACTTGCAGACTTTACAGACAGAGTCTTTCCAAACTGCTCTATGAAAAGAAAGGTGGAACTCTGTGAGCTGAACGCACACATAACAAAGCAGTTTCTGAGAATGATTCTGTGTAGTTTTTACACGAAGCTATTTCCATTTCAAAGATTAGCCTCAAATCGCTTGAAATCTCCACTTGCAAATTCCACAGAAAGAGTTTTTCAAAACTGCTCTGTGTAAAGGAAGGTTCAACTCTGTGACTTGAATACACACAACACAAAGAAGTGACTGAGAATTCTTCTGTCTAGCATTACATGAAGAAATCCCGTTTCCAACGAAGGCCTCAAAGAAGTCCAAATAAGCACCTGCAGACTTTACAAACAGAGTGTTTCCAAACTGCTCTATGAAAAGAAAGGTTAAACTCTGTGAGTTGAACGCACACATCACAAAGTAGTTGTTGAGAATGATTTTGTCTAGTTTTAATACGAAGATATATCCTTTTCTATCACTGTCTTCGAAGCGTTTGAAATCTGCACTAGCAAATTCCACAGAAAGAGTGTTTCAACTCTGCTCTCTCTCAAGAAAGGTTCAACTCTGTGAGTGGAATACACACAACACAAAGAAGTTACAGAGAATTCTTCTGTCTAGCGTTATATGAAGAAATCCCGTTTCCAACGAAGGCCTCAAAGAGGTCCAAATATCCACTTGCAGACTTTACAAATAGAGTGTTTCCAAACTGCTCTATGAAAAGAAAGGTTAAACTCTGTGAGTTGAAGGCACACATCACAAACTAGTTTCTGCGAATGACTCTGTGTACTTTTAATACGAAGATGTTTCCATGTCTAAGATTGGCGTGAATTCGCTTGAAATCTCCACTTGCAAATTCCACAAAAAGAGTGTTTCAAAACTGCTCTGAATAAAGGAAGGTTCCACTCTGTGAGTTGAATACACACAACACAAAGGATTTACTGAGAATTCTTCTGTCTAGCAGTAAATGAGACATCCCGCTTCCAACGAAGGCCTCAAAGAGGTCTAACTAATCACTTGCAGACTTTACAGACAGAGTCTTTCCAAACTGCTCTATGAAGAGAAAAGTGAAAGTCTGTGAACTGAACGCACAGATAACAAAGCAGTTTCTGAGAATGATTCTGTGTAGTTTTTATACGAAGATATTTCCATTTCAAAGATTAGCCTCAAATCGCTTGAAATCTCCACTTGCAAATTCCACAGAAAGAATTTTTCAAAACTGCTCTGTCTAAAGGAAGGTTCAACTCTGTTACTTGAATACACACAACACAAAGAAGTGATTGAGAATTACTCTGTCTAGCATTATATGAAGAAATCCCGTTTCCAACGAAGACCTCAATGAAGTCCAAAAAAGCACTTGCAGGCTTTACAAACAGAGTGTTTCCAAACTGCTCTATGAAAAAGAAAGGTTAAACTCTGTGAGTTGAAGGCACACATCACAAAGTAGTTGTTGAGAATGATTTTGTCTAGTTTTAATACGAAGATATATCCTTTTCTATCACTGTCTTCGAAGCGTTTGAAATCTGCACTAGCAAATTCCACAAACAGAGTGTTTCAACTCTGCTCTCTCTCAAGAAAGGTTCAACTCTGTGAGTGGAATACACACAACACAAAGAAGTTACTGAGAATTCTTCTGTCTAGCGTTGTATGAAGAAATCCCGTTTCCAACGAAGGCCTCAAAGAGGTCCAAATATCCACTTGCAGACTTTACAAATAGAGTGTTTCCAAACTGCTCTATGAAAAGAAATGTTAAACTCTGTGAGTTGAAGGCACACATCACAAACTAGTTTCTACGAATGACTCTGTGTACTTTTAATATGAAGATATTTCCATGTCTAAGATTGGCGTCAAATCGCTTGAAATCTCCACTTGCAAATTCCACAAAAAGTGTTTTTCAAAACTGCTCTGAATAAAGGAAGGTTCCACTCTGTGAGTTGAATACACACAACACAAAGGATTTACTGAGAATTCTTCTGTCTAGCAGTTAATGAGAAATCCCGCTTCCAACGAAGGCCTCAAAGGGGTCTAATCACTTGCAGACTTTAAAGACAGAGTCTTTCCAAACTGCTCTATGAAGAGAAAGGTGAAACTCTGTGAACTGAACGCACAGATGACAAAGCAGTTTCTGAGAATGCTTCTGTGTAGTTTTTACACGAAGCTATTTCCATTTCAAAGATTAGCCTCAAATCGCTTGAAATCTCCACTTGCAAATTCCACAGAAAGAGTTTTTCAAAACTGCTCTGTGTAAAGGAAGGTTCAACTCTGTGACTTGAATACACACAACACAAAGAAGTTACTGAGAATTCTTCTGTCTAGCGTTATATGAAGAAATCCCGTTTCCAACGAAGGCCTCAAAGAGGTCCAAATATCCACTTGCAGACTTTACAAATAGAGTGTTTCCAAACTGCTCTATGAAAAGAAAGGTTAAACTCCGTGAGTTGAAGGCACACATCACAAACTAGTTTCTGCAAATGACTCTGTGTACTTTTAATACGAAGATGTTTCCATGTCTAAGATTGGCGTGAATTCGCTTGAAATCTCCACTTGCAAATTCCACAAAAAGAGTGTTTCAAAAGTGCTCTGAACAAAGGAAGGTTCCACTCTGTGAGTTGAATACACACAACACAAAGGATTTACTGAGAATTCTTCTGTCTAGCAGTAAATGAAAAAATCCCGCTTCCAACGAAGTCCTCAAAGGGGTCCAAGTAATCACTTGCAGACTTTACAGACAGAGTCTTTCCAAACTGCTCTATGAAAAGAAAGGTGGAACTCTGTGAGCTGAACGCACACATAACAAAGCAGTTTCTGAGAATGATTCTGTGTAGTTTTTACACGAAGATATTTCCATTTCAAAGATTAGCCTCAAATCGCTTGAAATCTCCACTTGCAAATTCCACAGAAAGAATTTTTCAAAACTGCTCTGTCTAAAGGAAGGTTCAACTCTGTGACTTGAATACACACAACACAAAGAAGTGACTGAGAATTCTTCTGTCTAGCATTATATGAAGAAATCCCGTTTCCAACGAAGGCCTCAAAGAAGTCCAAATAAGCACCTGCAGACTTTACAAACAGAGTGTTTCCAAAATGCTCTATGAAAAGAAAGGTTAAACTCTGTGAGTTGAACGGCACACATCAGAAAGTAGTTGTTGAGAATGATTCTGTGTACTTTTTATACGAAGATATTTCCATTTCTGCCATAGGCCTAGAAGCGCTTGAAATCTGCACTTGCAAATTCCAAAAACAGAGTGTTTCAAATCTGCTCTCTCTAAAGGAAGGTTCAAATCTGTGTGTTGAATACAAACAACACAAAGAAGTTACTGAGAATTCTTCTGTCTAGCATTATATGAGGAAATCCCGTTTCCAACGAAGGACTCAAAGAGGGCCAAATATCCACCTGCAGACTTACAAAGAGTGTATTTCCAAACTGCTCGATTAAAGAAAGGTTAAACTCTGTGAGTTGAACACACACATCACAAAGAGTTTTCTGAGAATGATTTTGTCTACTTTTAATACGAAGATATATCCTTTTCTATCACTGTCTTCGAAGCGTTTGAAATCTACACTAGCAAATTCCACAAAAAGAGTGTTTCACCTCTGCTCCCTCTAAAGAAAGGTTCAACTCTGTGAGTTGAATACACACAACACAAAGAAGTTACTGAGAATTCTTCTGTCTAGCGTTATATGAAGAAATCCCGTTTCCAAAGAAGGCCTCAAAGAGGTCCAAATATCCACTTGCAGACTTTACAAATAGAGTGTTTCCCAACTGCTCTATGAAAAGAAAGGTTAAACTCTGTGAGTTGAAGGCACACATCACAAACTAGTTTCTACGAATGACTCTGTGTACTTTTAATATGAAGATATTTCCATGTCTAAGATTGGCGTCAAATCGCTTGAAATCTCCACTTGCAAATTCCACAAAAAGAGTGTTTCAAAACTGCTCTGAATAAAGGAAGGTTCCACTCTGTGAGTTGAATACACACAACACAAAGGATTTACTGATAATTCTTCTGTCTAGCAGTAAATGAAAAAATCCCGCTTCCAACGAAGTCCTCAAAGGGGTCCAAGTAATCACTTGCAGACTTTACAGACAGAGTCTTTCCAAACTGCTCTATGAAAACAAAGGTGGAACTCTGTGAGCTGAACGCACACATAACAAAGCAGTTTCTGAGAATGATTCTGTGTAGTTTTTACACGAAGATATTTCCATTTCAAAGATTAGCCTCAAATCGCTTGAAATCTCCACTTGCAAATTCCACAGAAAGAGTTTTTCAAAACTGCTCTGTGTAAAGGAAGGTTCAACTCTGTGACTTGAATACACACAACACAAAGAAGTGACTGAGAATTCTTCTGTCTAGCATTATGTGAAGAAATCCCGTTTCCAACGAAGGCCTCAATGAAGTCCAAAAAAGCACTTGCAGGCTTTACAAACAGAGTATTTCCAAACTGCTCTATGAAAAGAAAGGTTAAACTCTGTGAGTTGAACGCACACATCACAAAGAAGTTGTTGAGAATGATTCTGTGTAATTTTTATACGAAGATATTTCCTTTTCTGCCATAGGCCAAGAAGCGCTTGAAATCTGTACTTGCAAATTCCAAAAACAGAGTGTTTCAAATCTGCTCTCTCTAAAAGAAGGTTCAAATCTGTGCGTTGAATACAAACAACACAAAGAAGTTACTGAGAATTCTTCTGTCTAGCATTATATGAGGAAATCCCGTTTCCAACGAAGGCCTCAAAGAGGTCCAAATATCCACTTGCAGACTTTACAAATAGAGTGTTTCCAAACTGCTCTATGAAAAGAAAGGTTAAACTCTGTGAGTTGAAGGCACACATCACAAACTAGTTTCTACGAATGACTCTGTGTACTTTTAATATGAAGATATTTCCATGTCTAAGATTGGAGTCAAATCGCTTGAAATCTCCACTTGCAAATTCCACGAAAAGTGTTTTTCAAAACTGCTCTGAATAAAGGAAGGTTCCACTCTGTGAGTTGAATACACACAACACAAAGGATTTACTGAGAATTCTTCTGTCTAGCAGTAAATGAGAAATCCCGCTTCCAACGAAGGCCTCAAAGGGGTCTAACTAATCACTTGCAGACTTTACAGACAGAGTCTTTCCAAACTGCTCTATGAAGAGAAAGGTGAAACTCTGTGAACTGAACGCACAGATGACAAAGCAGTTTCTGAGAATGATTCTGTGTAGTTTTTACACGAAGATATTTCCATTTCAAAGATTAGCCTCAAATCGCTTGAAATCTCCACTTGCAAACTCCACAGAAAGAATTTTTCAAAACTGCTCTGTCTAAAGGAAGGTTCAACTCTGTGACTTGAATACACACAACACAAAGAAGTGACTGAGAATTCTTCTGTCTAGCATTATATGAAGAAATCCCGTTTCCAACGGAGGCCTCAAAGAAGTCCAAATAAGCACCTGCAGACTTTACAAACAGAGTGTTTCCAAACTGCTCTATGAAAAGAAAGGTTAAACTCTGTGAGTTGAACGCACACATCACAAACTAGTTTCTGCGAATGACTTTGTCTAGTTTTAATACGAAGATATATCCTTTTCTATCACTGTCTTCGAAGCGTTTGAAATCTGCACTAGCAAATTCCACAAACAGAGTGTTTCAACTCTGCTCTCTCTCAAGAAAGGTTCAACTCTGTGAGTTGAATACACACAACACAAAGAAGTTACTGAGAATTCTTCTGTCTAGCGTTATATGAAGAAATCCCGTTTCCAACGAAGGCCTCAAAGAGGTCCAAATATCCACTTGCAGACTTTACAAATAGAGTGTTTCCAAACTGCTCTATGAAAAGAAAGGTTAAACTCTGTGAGTTGAAGGCACACATCACAAACTAGTTTCTACGAATGACTCTGTGTACTTTTAATATGAAGATATTTCCATGTCTAAGATTGGCGTCAAATCGCTTGAAATCTCCACTTGCAAATTGCACAAAAAGAGTGTTTCAAAACTGCTCTGAATAAAGGAAGGTTCCACTCTGTGAGTTGAATACACACAACACAAAGGATTTACTGAGAATTCTTCTGTCTAGCAGTAAATGAGAAATCCCGCTTCCAACGAAGGCCTCAAAGGGGTCTAACTAATCACTTGCAGACTTTACAGACAGAGTCTTTCCAAACTGCTCTATGAAGAGAAAGGTGAAACTCTGTGAACTGAACGCACAGATGACAAAGCAGTTTCTGAGAATGATTCTGTGTAGTTTTTACACGAAGCTATTTCCATTTCAAAGATTAGCCTCAAATCGCTTGAAATCTCCACTTGCAAATTCCACAGAAAGAGTTTTTCAAAACTGCTCTGTGTAAAGGAAGGTTCAACTCTGTGACTTGAATACACACAACACAAAGAAGTGACTGAGAATTCTTCTGTCTAGCATTATATGAAGAAATCCCGTTTCCAACGAAGGCCTCAATGAAGTCCAAAAAAGCACTTGCAGGCTTTGCAAACAGCGTGTTTCCAAACTGCTCTATGAAAAGAAAGGTTAAACTTTGTGAGTTGAACGCACACATCACAAAGTAGTTGTTGAGAATGATTCTGTGTAGTTTTTATACGAAGATATTTCCTTTCCTGCCATAGGCCTAGAATCGCTTGAAATCTGCACTTGCAAATTCCAAAAACAGAGTGTTTCAACTCTGCTCTCTCTAAAGAAAGGTTCAACTCTGTGAGTTGAATACACACAACACAAAGAAGTTACTGAGAATTCTTCTGTCTAGTGTTGTATGAAGAAATCCCATTTCCAACGAAGGCCTCAAAGAGGTCCAAATATCCACTTGCAGACTTTACAAATAGAGTGTTTCCAAACTGCTCTATGAAAAGAAAGGTTAAACTCTGTGAGTTGAAGGCACACATCACAAACTAGTTTCTACGAATGACTCTGTGTACTTTTAATATGAAGATATTTCCATGTCTAAGATTGGCGTCAAATCGCTTGAAATCTCCACTTGCAAATTCCACAAAAAGTGTTTTTCAAAACTGCTCTGAATAAAGGAAGGTTCCACTCTGTGAGTTGAATACACACAACACAAAGGATTTACTGAGAATTCTTCTGTCTAGCAGTAAATGAGAAATCCCGCTTCCAACGAAGGCCTCAATGGGGTCTAACTAATCACTTGCAGACTTTACAGAGTCTTTCCAAACTGCTCTATGAAGAGAAAGGTGAAACTCTGTGAACTGAACGCACAGATAACAAAGCAGTTTCTGAGAATGATTCTGTGTAGTTTTTACACGAAGATATTTCCATTCCAAAGATTAGCCTCAAATCTCTTAAAATCTCCAATTGCAAATTCCACAGAAAGAATTTTTCAAAACTGCTCTGTCTAAAGGAAGGTTCAACTCTGTGACTTGAATACACACAACACAAAGAAGTAACTGAGAATTCTTCTGTCTAGCATTATATGAGGAAATCCCGTTTCCAACAAAGGGCTCAAAGAGGGCCAATGATCCACCTGCAGACTTACAAAGAGTGTATTTCCAAACTGCTCGATTAAAGAAAGGTTAATCTCTGTGAGTTGAACACACACATCACAAAGTGTTTTCTGAGAATGATTCTGTGTAGTTTTTATACGAAGATATTTCCTTTTCTGCCATAGGCCTAGAATCGCTTGAAATCTGCAGTTGCAAATTCCAAAAACAGAGTGTTTCAACTCTGCTCTCTCTAAAGAAAGGTTCAACTCTGTGAGTTGAATACACACAACACAAAGAAGTTACTGAGAATTCTTCTGTCTAGCGTTGTATGAAGAAATCCCGTTTCCAACGAAGGCCTCAAAGAGGTCCAAATATCCACTTGCAGACTTTACAAATAGAGTGTTTCCAAACTGCTCTATGAAAAGAAAGGTTAAACTCTGTGAGTTGAAGGCACACATCACAAACTAGTTTCTACGAATGACTCTGTGTACTTTTAATATGAAGATATTTCCATGTCTAAGATTGGCGTCAAATCGCTTGAAATCTCCACTTGCAAATTCCACAAAAAGTGTTTTTCAAAACTGCTCTGAATAAAGGAAGGTTCCACTCTGTGAGTTGAATACACACAACACAAAGGATTTACTGAGAATTCTTCTGTCTAGCAGTAAATGAGAAATCCCGCTTCCAACGAAGGCCTCAAAGGGGTCTAACTAATCACTTGCAGACTTTACAGACAGAGTCTTTCCAAACTGCTCTATGAAGAGAAAGGTGAAACTCTGTGAACTGAACGCACAGATGACAAAGCAGTTTCTGAGAATGATTCTGTGTAGTTTTTACACGAAGATATTTCCATTTCAAAGATTAGCCTCAAATCGCTTGAAATCTCCACTTGCAAACTCCACAGAAAGAATTTTTCAAAACTGCTCTGTCTAAAGGAAGGTTCAACTCTGTGACTTGAATACACACAACACAAAGAAGTGACTGAGAATTCTTCTGTCTAGCATTATATGAAGAAATCCCGTTTCCAACGAAGGCCTCAATGAAGTCCAAAAAAGCACTTGCAGGCTTTACAAACAGAGTGTTTCCAAACTGCTCTATGAAAAGAAAGGTTAAACTCTGTGAGTTGAACGCACACATCACAAAGTAGTTGTTGAGAATGATTCTGTGTAGTTTTTATACGAAGATATTTCCTTTTCTGCCATAGGCCTAGAAGCGCTTGAAATCTGCACTTGCAAATTCCAAAAACAGAGTGTTTCAAATCTGCTCTCTCTAAAGGAAGGTTCAAATCTGTGTGTTGAATACAAACAACACAAAGAAGTTACTGAGAATTCTTCTGTCTAGCATTATATGAGGAAATCCCGTTTCCAACGAAGGCCTCAAAGAGGTCCAAATATCCACTTGCAGACTTTACAAATAGAGTGTTTCCAAACTGCTCTATGAAAAGAAAGGTTAAACTCTGTGAGTTGAAGGCACACATCACAAACTAGTTTCTACGAATGACTCTGTGTACTTTTAATATGAAGATATTTCCATGTCTAAGATTGGCGTCAAATCGCTTGAAATCTCCACTTGCAAATTCCACAAAAAGTGTTTTTCAAAACTGCTCTGAATAAAGGAAGGTTCCACTCTGTGAGTTGAATACACACAACACAAAGGATTTACTGAGAATTCTTCTGTCTAGCAGTAAATGAGAAATCCCGCTTCCAACGAAGTCCTCAAAGGGGACTAACTAATCACTTGCAGACTTTACAGACAGAGTCTTTCCAAACTGCTCTATGAAGAGAAAGGTGAAACTCTGTGAACTGAACGCACAGATAACAAAGCAGTTTCTGAGAATGATTCTGTGTAGTTTTTACACGAAGCTATTTCCATTTCAAAGATTAGCCTCAAATCGCTTGAAATCTCCACTTGCAAATTCCACAGAAAGAGTTTTTCAAAACTGCTCTGTGTAAAGGAAGGTTCAACTCTGTGACTTGAATACACACAACACAAAGAAGTGACTGAGAATTCTTCTGTCTAGCATTATATGAAGAAATCCCGTTTCCAACGAAGGCCTCAATGAAGTCCAAAAAAGCACTTGCAGGCTTTACAAACAGAGTGTTTCCAAACTGCTCTATGAAAAGAAAGGTTAAACTCTGTGAGTTGAACGCACACATCACAAAGTAGTTGTTGAGAATGACTCTGTGTAGTTTTTATACGAAGATATTTCCTTTTCTGCCATAGGCCTAGAATCGCTTGAAATCTGCAGTTGCAAATTCCAAAAACAGAGTGTTTCAACTCTGCTCTCTCTAAAGAAAGGTTCAACTCTGTGAGTTGAATACACACAACACAAAGAAGTTACTGAGAATTCTTCTGTCTAGCGTTGTATGAAGAAATCCCGTTTCCAACGAAGGCCTCAAAGAGGTCCAAATATCCACTTGCAGACTTTACAAATAGAGTGTTTCCAAACTGCTCTATGAAAAGAAAGGTTAAACTCTGTGAGTTGAAGGCACACATCACAAACTAGTTTCTACGAATGACTCTGTGTACTTTTAATATGAAGATATTTCCATGTCTAAGATTGGCGTCAAATCGCCTGAAATCTCCACTTGCAAATTCCACAAAAAGAGTGTTTCAAAACTGCTCTGAATAAAGGAAGGTTCCACTCTGTGAGTTGAATACACACAACACAAAGGATTTACTGAGAATTCTTCTGTCTAGCAGTAAATGAGAAATCCCGCTTCCAACGAAGGCCTCAAAGGGGTCTAACTAATCACTTGCAGACTTTACAGACAGAGTCTTTCCAAACTGCTCTATGAAGAGAAAGGTGAAACTCTGTGAACTGAACGCACAGATGACAAAGCAGTTTCTGAGAATGATTCTGTGTAGTTTTTACACGAAGATATTTCCATTTCAAAGATTAGCCTCAAATCGCTTGAAATCTCCACTTGCAAATTACACAGAAAGAATTTTTCAAAACTGCTCTGTCTAAAGTAAGGTTCAACTCTGTGACTTGAATACACACAACACAAAGAAGTGACTGAGAATTCTTCTGTCTAGCATTATATGAAGAAATCCCGTTTCCAACGAAGGCCTCAATGAAGTCCAAAAAAGCACTTGCAGGCTTTACAAACAGAGTGTTTCCAAACTGCTCTATGAAAAGAAAGGTTAAACTCTGTGAGTTGAACGCACACATCACAAAGTAGTTGTTGAGAATGACTCTGTGTAGTTTTTATACGAAGATATTTCCTTTTCTGCCATAGGCCAAGAATCGCTTGAAATCTGCAGTTGCAAATTCCACAAAAAGAGTGTCTCACCTCTGCTCCCTCTAAAGAAAGGTTCAACTCTGTGAGTTGAATACACACAACACAAAGAAGTTACTGAGAATTCTTCTGTCTAGCGTTATATGAAGAAATCCCGTTTCCAACGAAGGCCTCAAAGAGGTCCAAATATCCACTTGCAGACTTTACAAATAGAGTGTTTCCCAACTGCTCTATGAAAAGAAAGGTTAAACTCTGTGAGTTGAAGGCACACATCACAAACTAGTTTCTACGAATGACTCTGTGTACTTTTAATATGAAGATATTTCCATGTCTAAGATTGGCGTCAAATCGCTTGAAATCTCCACTTGCAAATTCCACAAAAAGAGTGTTTCAAAACTGCTCTGAATAAAGGAAGGTTCCACTCTGTGAGTTGAATACACACAACACAAAGGATTTACTGAGAATTCTTCTGTCTAGCAGTAAATGAGAAATCCCGCTTCCAACGAAGGCCTCAAAGGGGTCTAACTAATCACTTGCAGACTTTACAGACAGAGTCTTTCCAAACTGCTCTATGAAGAGAAAGGTGAAACTCTGTGAACTGAACGCACAGATGACAAAGCAGTTTCTGAGAATGATTCTGTGTAGTTTTTACACGAAGATATTTCCATTTCAAAGATTAGCCTCAAATCGCTTGAAATCTCCACTTGCAAACTCCACAGAAAGAATTTTTCAAAACTGCTCTGTCTAAAGGAAGGTTCAACTCTGTGACTTGAATACACACAACACAAAGAAGTGACTGAGAATTCTTCTGTCTAGCATTATATGAAGAAATCCCGTTTCCAACGAAGGCCTCAATGAAGTCCAAAAAAGCACTTGCAGGCTTTACAAACAGAGTGTTTCATAAGTGCACTATGAAAAGAAAGGTTAAACTCTGTGAGTTGAACGCACACATCACAAAGTAGTTGTTGAGAATGATTCTGTGTAGTTTTTATACGAAGATATTTCCTTTTCTGCCATAGGCCTAGAATCGCTTGAAATCTGCACTTGCAAATTCCAAAAACAGAGTGTTTCAACTCTGCTCTCTCTAAAGAAAGGTTCAACTCTGTGAGTTGAATACACACAACACAAAGAAGTTACTGAGAATTCTTCTGTCTAGCGTTGTATGAAGAAATCCCGTTTCCAACGAAGGCCTCAAAGAGGTCCAAATATCCACTTGCAGACTTTACAAATAGAGTGTTTCCAAACTGCTCTATGAAAAGAAAGGTTAAACTCTGTGAGTTGAAGGCACACATCACAAACTAGTTTTTACGAATGACTCTGTGTACTTTTAATATGAAGATATTTCCATGTCTAAGATTGGCGTCAAATCGCTTGAAATCTCCACTTGCAAATTCCACAAAAAGTGTTTTTCAAAAGTGCTCTGAATAAAGGAAGGTTCCACTCTGTGAGTTGAATACACACAACACAAAGGATTTACTGAGAATTCTTCTGTCTAGCAGTAAATGAGAAATCCCGCTTCCAACGAAGGCCTCAAAGGGGTCTAACTAATCACTTGCAGACTTTACAGACAGAGTCTTTCCAAACTGCTCTATGAAGAGAAAGGTGAAACTCTGTGAACTGAACGCACAGATGACAAAGCAGTTTCTGAGAATGATTCTGTGTAGTTTTTACACGAAGATATTTCCATTTCAAAGATTAGCCCCAAATCGCTTGAAATCTCCACTTGCAAATTCCACAGAAAGAGTTTTTCAAAACTGCTCTGTGTAAAGGAAGGTTCAACTCTGTGACTTGAATACACACAACACAAAGAAGTGACTGAGAATTCTTCTGTCTAGCATTATAAGAGGAAATCCCGTTTCCAACGAAGGGCTCATAGAGGGACAATTATCCAGCTGCAGACTTACAAAGAGTGTTTTTCGAAACTGCTCGATTAAAGAAAGGTTAAACTCTGTGAGTTGAACACACACATCACAAAGTGTTTTCTGAGAATGATTTTGTCTAGTTTTAATACGAAGATATATCCTTTTCTATCACTGTCTTCGAAGCGTTTGAAATCTGCACTAGGAAATTCCACAGAAAGAGTGTTTCAACTCTGCTCTCTCTCAAGAAAGGTTCAACTCTGTGAGTTGAATACACACAACACAAAGAAGTTACTGAGAATTCTTCTGTCTAGCGTTATATGAAGAAATCCCGTTTCCAACGAAGGCCTCAAAGAGGTCCAAATATCCACTTGCAGACTTTACAAATAGAGTGTTTCCAAACTGCTCTATGAAAAGAAAGGTTAAACTCCGTGAGTTGAAGGCACACATTACAAGCTAGTTTCTGCGAATGACTCTGTGTACTTTTAATACGAAGTTGTTTCCATGTCTAAGATTGGCGTGAATTCGCTTGAAATCTCCACTTGCAAATTCCACAAAAAGAGTGTTTCAAAACTGCTCTGAATAAAGGAAGGTTCCACTCTGTGAGTTGAATACACACAACACAAAGGATTTACTGAGAATTCTTCTGTCTAGCAGTAAATGAAAAAATCCCGCTTCCAACGAAGTCCTCAAAGGGGTCCAAGTAATCACTTGCAGACTTTACAGACAGAGTCTTTCCAAACTGCTCTATGAAAAGAAAGGTGGAACTCTGTGAGCTGAACGCACACATAACAAAGCAGTTTCTGAGAATGATTCTGTGTAGTTTTTACACGAAGATATTTCCATTTCAAAGATTAGCCTCAAATCGCTTGAAATCTCCACTTGCAAATTCCACAGAAAGAGTTTTTCAAAACTGCTCTGTGTAAAGGAAGGTTCAACTCTGTGACTTGAATACACACAACACAAAGAAGTGACTGAGAATCTCTCTGTCTAGCATTATATGAGGAAATCCCGTTTCCATCGAAGGGCTCAAAGAGGGCCAAATATCCACCTGCAGACTTACAAAGAGTGTATTTCCAAACTGCTCGATTAAAGAAAGGTTAAACTCTGTGAGTTGAACACACACATCACAAAGAGTTTTCTGAGAATGATTTTGTCTACTTTTAATACGAAGATATATCCTTTTCTATCACTGTCTTCGAAGCGTTTGAAATCTACACTAGCAAATTCCACAAAAAGAGTATTTCACCTCTGCTCCCTCTAAAGAAAGGTTCAACTCTGTGAGTTGAATACACACAACACAAAGAAGTTACTGAGAATTCTTCTGTCTAGCGTTGTATGAAGAAATCCCGTTTCCAACGAAGGCATCAAAGAGGTCCAAATATCCACTTGCAGACTTTACAAATAGAGTGTTTCCCAACTGCTCTATGAAAAGAAAGGTTAAACTCTGTGAGTTGAAGGCACACATCACAAACCAGTTTCTACGAATGACTCTGTGTACTTTTAATATGAAGATATTTCCATGTCTAAGATTGGCGTCAAATCGCTTGAAATCTCCACTTGCAAATTCCACAAAAAGTGTTTTTCAAAGCTGCTCTGAATAAAGGAAGGTTCCACTCTGTGAGTTGAATACACACAACACAAAGGATTTACTGAGAATTCTTCTGTCTAGCAGTAAATGAGAAATCCCGCTTCCAACGAAGGCCTCAAAGGGGTCTAACTAATCACTTGCAGACTTTACAGACAGAGTCTTTCCAAACTGCTCTATGAAGAGAAAGGTGAAACTCTGTGAACTGAACGCACAGATGACAAAGCAGTTTCTGAGAATGATTCTGTGTAGTTTTTACACGAAAGATATTTCCATTTCAAAGATTAGCCTCAAATCGCTTGAAATCTCCACTTGCAAACTCCACAGAAAGAATTTTTCAAAACTGCTCTGTCTAAAGGAAGGTTCAACTCTGTGACTTGAATACACACAACACAAAGAAGTGACTGAGAATTCTTCTGTCTAGCATTATATGAAGAAATCCCGTTTCCAACGAAGGCCTCAATGAAGTCCAAAAAAGCACTTGCAGGCTTTACAAACAGAGTGTTTCCAAACTGCTCTATGAAAAGAAAGGTTAAACTCTGTGAGTTGAACGCACACATCACAAAGTAGTTGTTGAGAATGATTCTGTGTAGTTTTTATACGAAGATATTTCCTTTTCTGCCATAGGCCTAGAAGCGCTTGAAATCTGCACTTGCAAATTCCAAAAACAGAGTGTTTCAAATCTGCTCTCTCTAAAGGAAGGTTCAAATCTGTGTGTTGAATACAAACAACACAAAGAAGTTACTGAGAATTCTTCTGTCTAGCGTTATATGAAGAAATCCCGTTTCCAACGAAGGCCTCAAAGAGGTCCAAATATCCACTTGCAGACTTTACAAATAGAGTGTTTCCAAACTGCTCTATGAAAAGAAAGCTTAAACTCTGTGAGATGAAGGCACACATCACAAACTAGTTTCTGCGAATGACTCTGTGTACTTTTAATACGAAGATGTTTCCATGTCTAAGATTGGCGTGAATTCGCTTGAAATCTCCACTTGCAAATTCCACAAAAAGAGTGTTTCAAAACTGCTCTGAATAAAGGAAGGTTCCACTCTGTGAGTTGAATACACACAACACAAAGGATTTACTGAGAATTCTTCTGTCTAGCAGTAAATGAAAAAATCCCGCTTCCAACGAAGTCCTCAAAGGGGTCCAAGTAATCACTTGCAGACATTACAGACAGAGTCTTTCCAAACTGCTCTATGAAAAGAAAGGTGGAACTCTGTGAGCTGAACGCACACATAACAAAGCAGTTTCTGAGAATGATTCTGTGTAGTTTTTACACGAAGATATTTCCATTTCAAAGATTAGCCTCAAATCGCTTGAAATCTCCACTTGCAAATTCCACAGAAAGAGTTTTTCAAAACTGCTCTGTGTAAAGGAAGGTTCAACTCTGTGACTTGAATACACACAACACAAAGAAGTGACTGAGAATTCTTCTGTCTAGCATTATATGAGGAAATCCCGTTTCCAACGAAGGGCTCATAGAGGGACAATTATCCACCTGCAGACTTACAAAGAGTGTATTTCCAAACTGCTCGATTACAGAAAGGTTAAACTCTGTGAGTTGAACACACACATCACAAAGTGTTTTCTGAGAATGATTTTGTCTAGTTTTAATACGAAGATATATCCTTTTCTATCACTGTCTTCGAAGCGTTTGAAATCTACACTAGCAAATTCCACAAAAAGAGTGTTTCAACTCTGCTCTCTCTCAAGAAAGGTTCAACTCTGTGAGTTGAATACACACAACACAAAGAAGTTACTGAGAATTCTTCTGTCTAGCGTTATATGAAGAAATCCCGTTTCCAACGAAGGCCTCAAAGTGGTCCAAATATCCACTTGCAGACTTTACAAATAGAGTGTTTCCAAACTGCTCTATGAAAAGAAAGGTTAAACTCTGTGAGTTGAAGGCACACATCACAAACTAGTTTCTGCGAATGACTCTGTGTACTTTTAATACGAAGATATTTCCATGTCTATGATTGGCGTGAATTCGCTTGAAATCTCCACTTGCAAATTCCACAAAGAGTGTTTCAAAACTGCTCTGAATAAAGGAAGGTTCCACTCTGTGAGTTGAATACACACAACACGAAGGATTTACTGAGAATTCTTCTGTCTAGCAGTAAATGAAAAAATCCCGCTTCCAACGAAGTCCTCAAAGGGGTCCAAGTAATCACTTGCAGACTTTACAGACAGAGTCTTTCCAAACTGCTCTATGAAAAGAAAGGTGGAACTCTGTGAGCTGAACGCACACATAACAAAGCAGTTTCTGAGAATGATTCTGTGTAGTTTTTACACGAAGATATTTCCATTTCAAAGATTAGCCTCAAATCGCTTGAAATCTCCACTTGCAAATTACACAGAAAGAATTTTTCAAAACTGCTCTGTCTAAAGGAAGGTTCAACTCTGTGAGTTGAATACACACAACACAAAGAAGTTACTGAGAATTCTTCTGTCTAGCGTTGTATGAAGAAATCCCGTTTCCAACGAAGGCCTCAATGAAGTACAAAAAAGCACTTGCAGGCTTTACAAACAGAGTGTTTCCAAACTGCTCTATGAAAAGAAAGGTTAAACTCTGTGAGTTGAACACACACATCACAAAGAGTTTTCTGAGAATGATTTTGTCTACTTTTAATACGAAGATATATCCTTTTCTATCACTGTCTTCGAAGCGTTTGAAATCTGCACTAGCAAATTCCACAAAAAGAGTGTTTCAACTCTGCTCTCTCTAAAGAAAGGTTCAACTCTGTGAGTTGAATACACACAACACAAAGAAGTTACTGAGAATTCTTCTGTCTAGCGTTATATGAAGAAATCCCTTTTCCAACGAAGGCCTCAAAGAGGTCCAAATATCCACTTGCAGACTTTACAAATAGAATGTTTCCGAACTGCTCTATGAAAAGAAAGGTTAAACTCTGTGAGTTGAAGGCACACATCACAAACTAGTTTCTACGAATGATTCTGTGTACTTTTAATATGAAGATATTTCCATGTCTAAGATTGGCGTCAAATCGCTTGAAATCTCCACTTGCAAATTCCACAAAAAGAGTGTTTCAAAACTGCTCTGAATAAAGGAAGGTTCCACTCTGTGAGTTGAATAAACACAACACAAAGGATTTACTGAGAATTCTTCTGTCTAGCATTATATGAAGAAATCCCGTTTCCAACGAAGGCCTCAATGAAGTCGAAAAAGGCACTGGCAGGCTTTACAAGCAGAGTGTTTCCAAACTGCTCTATGAAAAGAAAGGTTAAACTTTGTGAGTGGAGCGCACACATCACAAAGTAGTTGTTGAGAATGATTTTTGTCTAGTTTTAATACGAAGATATATCCTTTTCTATCACTGTCTTCGAAGCGTTTGAAATCTGCACTAGCAAATTCCACAGAAAGAGTGTTTCAACTCTGCTCTCTCTCAAGAAAGGTTCAACTCTGTGAGTGGAATACACACAACACAAAGAAGTTACTGAGAATTCTTCTGTCTAGCGTTATATGAAGAAATCCCGTTTCCAACGAAGGCCTCAAAGAGGTCCAAATATCCCCTTGCAGACTTTACAAAGAGAGTGTTTCCAAACTGCTCTATGAAAAGAAAGGTTAAACTCCGTGAGTTGAAGGCACACATCACAAACTAGTTTCTGCGAATGACTCTGTGTACTTTTAATACGAAGATGTTTCCATGTCTAAGATTGGCGTGAATTCGCTTGAAATCTCCACTTGCAATTTCCACAAAAAGAGTGTTTCAAAACTGCTCTGAATAAAGGAAGGTTCCACTCTGTGAGTTGAATACACACAACACAAAGGATTTACTGAGAATTCTTCTGTCTAGCAGTAAATGAAAAAATCCCGCTTCCAACGAAGTCCTCAAAGGGGTCCAAGTAATCACTTGCAGACTTTACAGACAGAGTCTTTCCAAACTGCTCTATGAAAAGAAAGGTGGAACTCTGTGAGCTGAACGCACACATAACAAAGCAGTTTCTGACAATGATTCTGTGTAGTTTTTACACGAAGATATTTCCATTTCAAAGATTAGCCTCAAATCGCTTGAAATCTCCACTTGCAAATTACACAGAAAGAATTTTTCAAAACTGCTCTGTCTAAAGGAAGGTTCAACTCTGTGACTTGAATACACACAACACAAAGAAGTGACTGAGAATTCTTCTGTCTAGCATTATATGAAGAAATCCCGTTTCCAACGAAGGCCTCAATGAAGTCCAAAAAAGCACTTGCAGTCTTTACAAACAGAGTGTTTCCAAACTGCTCTATGAAAAGAAAGGTTAAACTCTGTGAGTTGAACGCACACATCACAAAGTAGTTGTTGAGAATGATTCTGTGTAGTTTTTATACGAAGATATTTCCTTTTCTGCCATAGGCCTAGAATCGCTTGAAATCTGCACTTGCAAATTCCAAAAACAGAGTGTTTCAACTCTGTTCTCTCTAAAGAAAGGTTCAACTCTGTGAGTTGAATACACACAACACAAAGAAGTTACTGAGAATTCTTCTGTCTAGCGTTGTATGAAGAAATCCCGTTTCCAACGAAGGCCTCAATGAAGTCCAAAAAAGCACTTGCACGCTTTACAAACAGAGTGTTTCCAAACTGCTCTATGAAAAGAAAGGTTAAACTCTGTGAGTTGAACGCACACATCACAAAGTAGTTGTTGAGAATGATTCTGTGTAGTTTTTATACGAAGATATTTCCTTTTCTGCCATAGGCCTAGAAGCGCTTGAAATCTACACTTGCAAATTCCAAAAACAGAGTGTTTCAAATCTGCTCTCTCTAAAGGAAGGTTCAAATCTGTGTGTTGAATACAAACAACACAAAGAAGTTACTGAGAATTCTTCTGTCTAGCGTTATATGAAGAAATCCCGTTTCCAACGAAGGCCTCAAAGAGGTCCAAATATCCACTTGCAGACATTACAAATAGAGTGTTTCCAAACTGCTCTATGAAAAGAAAGGTTAAACTCCGTGAGTTGAAGGCACACATCACAAACTAGTTTCTGCGAATGACTCTGTGTACTTTTAATACGAAGATGTTTCCATGTCTAAGATTGGCGTGAATTCACTTGAAATCTCCACTTGCAAATTCCACAAAAAGAGTGTTTCAAAACTGCTCTGAATAAAGGAAGGTTCCACTCTGTGAGTTGAATACACACAACACAAAGGATTTACTGAGAATTCTTCTGTCTAGCAGTAAATGAAAAAATCCCGCTTCCAACGAAGTCCTCAAAGGGGTCCAAGTAATCACTTGCAGACTTTACAGACAGAGTCTTTCCAAACTGCTCTATGAAAAGAAAGGTGGAACTCTGTGAGCTGAACGCACACATAACAAAGCAGTTTCTGAGAATGATTCTGTGTAGTTTTTACACGAAGATATTTCCATTTCAAAGATTAGCCTCAAATCGCTTGAAATCTCCACTTGCAAACTCCACAGAAAGAATTTTTCAAAACTGCTCTGTCTAAAGGAAGGTTCAACTCTGTGACTTGAATACACACAACACAAAGAAGTGACTGAGAATTCTTCTGTCTAGCATTATATGAGGAAATCCCGTTTGCAACGAAGGGCTCATAGAGGGATAATTATCCAGCTGCAGACTTACAAAGAGTGTATTTCCAAACTGCTCGATTAAAGAAAGGTTAAACTCTGTGAGTTGAACACACACATCACAAAGTGTTTTCTGAGAATGATTCTGTGTAGTTTTTATACGAAGATATTTCCTTTTCTGCCATTGGCCTAGAAGCGCTTGAAATCTGCACTTGCAAATTCCAAAAACAGAGTGTTTCAAATCTGCTCTCTCTAAAGGAAGGTTCAAATCTGTGTGTTGAATACAAACAACACAAAGAAGTTACTGAGAATTCTTCTGTCTAGCATTATATGAGGAAATCCCGTTTCCAACGAAGGGCTCAAAGAGGGCCAAATATCCACCTGCAGACTTACAAAGAGTGTATTTCCAAACTGCTCGATTAAAGAAAGGTTAAACTCTGTGAGTTGAACACACACATCACAAAGAGTTTTCTGAGAATGATTTTGTCTACTTTTAATACGAAGATATATCCTTTTCTATCACTGTCTTCGAAGCGTTTGAAATCTACACTAGCAAATTCCACAAAAAGAGTGTTTCACCACTGCTCCCTCTAAAGAAAGGTTCAACTCTGTGAGTTGAATACACACAACACAAAGAAGTTACTGAGAATTCTTCTGTCTAGCGTTATATGAAGAAATCCCGTTTCCAACGAAGGCCTCAAAGAGGTCCAAATATCCACTTGCAGACTTTACAAATAGAGTGTTTCCCAACTGCTCTATGAAAAGAAAGGTTAAACTCTGTGAGTTGAAGGCACACATCACAAACTAGTTTCTACGAATGACTCTGTGTACTTTTAATATGAAGATATTTCCATGTCTAAGATTGGCGTCAAATCGCTTGAAATCTCCACTTGCAAATTCCACAAAAAGAGTGTTTCAAAACTGCTCTGAATAAAGGAAGGTTCCACTCTGTGAGTTGAATACACACAACACAAAGGATTTACTGAGAATTCTTCTGTCTAGCAGTAAATGAGAAATCCCACTTCCAACGAAGGCCTCAAAGGGGTCTAACTAATCACTTGCAGACTTTACAGACAGAGTCTTTCCAAACTGCTCTATGAAGAGAAAGGTGAAACTCTGTGAACTGAACGCACAGATGACAAAGCAGTTTCTGAGAATGATTCTGTGTAGTTTTTACACGAAGATATTTCCATTTCAAAGATTAGCCTCAAATCGCTTGAAATCTCCACTTGCAAACTCCACAGAAAGAATTTTTCAAAACTGCTCTGTCTAAAGGAAGGTTCAACTCTGTGACTTGAATACACACAACACAAAGAAGTGACTGAGAATTCTTCTGTCTAGCATTATATGAAGAAATCCCGTTTCCAACGAAGGCCTCAATGAAGTCCAAAAAAGCACTTGCAGGCTTTACAAACAGAGTGTTTCCAAACTGCTCTATGAAAAGAAAGGTTAAACTCTGTGAGTTGAACGCACACATCACAAAGTAGTTGTTGAGAATGATTCTGTGTAGTTTTTATACGAAGATATTTCCTTTTCTGCCATAGGCCTAGAAGCGCTTGAAATCTGCACTTGCAAATTCCAAAAACAGAGTGTTTCAAATCTGCTCTCTCTAAAGGAAGGTTCAAATCTGTGTGTTGAATACAAACAACACAAAGAAGTTACTGAGAATTCTTCTGTCTAGCATTATATGAGGAAATCCCGTTTCCAACGAAGGGCTCAAAGAGGGCCAAATATCCACCTGCAGACTTACAAAGAGTGTATTTCCAAACTGCTCGATTAAAGAAAGGTTAAACTCTGTGAGTTAAACACACACATCACAAAGAGTTTTCTGAGAATGATTTTGTCTACTTTTAATACGAAGATATATCCTTTTCTATCACTGTCTTCGAAGCGTTTGAAATCTACACTAGCAAATTCCACAAAAAGAGTGTTTCACCTCTGCTCCCTCTAAAGAAAGGTTCAACTCTGTGAGTTGAATACACACAACACAAAGAAGTTACTGAGAATTCTTCTGTCTAGCGTTATATGAAGAAATCCCGTTTCCAACGAAGGCCTCAAAGAGGTCCAAATATCCACTTGCAGACTTTACAAATAGAGTGTTTCCCAACTGCTCTATGAAAAGAAAGGTTAAACTCTGTGAGTTGAAGGCACACATCACAAACTAGTTTCTACGAATGACTCTGTGTACTTTTAATATGAAGATATTTCCATGTCTAAGATTGGCGTCAAATCGCTTGAAATCTCCACTTGCAAATTCCACAAAAAGAGTGTTTCAAAACTGCTCTGAATAAAGGAAGGTTCCACTCTGTGAGTTGAATACACACAACACAAAGGATTTACTGAGAATTCTTCTGTCTAGCAGTAAATGAGAAATCCCGCTTCCAACGAAGGCCTCAAAGGGGTCTAACTAATCACTTGCAGACTTTACAGACAGAGTCTTTCCAAACTGCTCTATGAAGAGAAAGGTGAAACTCTGTGAACTGAACGCACAGATGACAAAGCAGTTTCTGAGAATGATTCTGTGTAGTTTTTACACGAAGATATTTCCATTTCAAAGATTAGCCTCAAATCGCTTGAAATCTCCACTTGCAAACTCCACAGAAAGAATTTTTCAAAACTGCTCTGTCTAAAGGAAGGTTCAACTCTGTGACTTGAATACACACAACACAAAGAAGTGACTGAGAATTCTTCTGTCTAGCATTATATGAAGAAATCCCGTTTCCAACGAAGGCCTCAATGAAGTCCAAAAAAGCACTTGCAGGCTTTACAAACAGAGTGTTTCCAAACTGCTCTATGAAAAGAAAGGTTAAACTCTGTGAGTTGAACGCACACATCACAAAGTAGTTGTTGAGAATGATTCTGTGTAGTTTTTATACGAAGATATTTCCTTTTCTGCCATAGGCCTAGAATCGCTTGAAATCTGCAGTTGCAAATTCCAAAAACAGAGTGTTTCAACTCTGCTCTCTCTAAAGAAAGGTTCAACTCTGTGAGTTGAATACACACAACACAAAGAAGTTACTGAGAATTCTTCTGTCTAGCGTTGTATGAAGAAATCCCGTTTCCAACGAAGGCCTCAAAGAGGTCCAAATATCCACTTGCAGACTTTACAAATAGAGTGTTTCCAAACTGCTCTATGAAAAGAAAGGTTAAACTCTGTGAGTTGAAGGCACACATCACAAACTAGTTTCTACGAATGACTCTGTGTACTTTTAATATGAAGATATTTCCATGTCTAAGATTGGCGTCAAATCGCTTGAAATCTCCACTTGCAAATTCCACGAAAAGTGTTTTTCAAATCTGCTCTGAATAAAGGAAGGTTCCACTCTGTGAGTTGAATACACACAACACAAAGGATTTACTGAGAATTCTTCTGTCTAGCAGTAAATGAGAAATCCCGCTTCCAACGAAGGCCTCAAAGGGGTCTAACTAATCACTTGCAGACTTTACAGACAGAGTCTTTCCAAACTGCTCTATGAAGAGAAAGGTGAAACTCTGTGAACTGAACGCACAGATGACAAAGCAGTTTCTGAGAATGATTCTGTGTAGTTTTTACACGAAGATATTTCCATTTCAAAGATTAGCCTCAAATCGCTTGAAATCTCCACTTGCAAACTCCACAGAAAGAATTTTTCAAAACTGCTCTGTCTAAAGGAAGGTTCAACTCTGTGACTTGAATACACACAACACAAAGAAGTGACTGAGAATTCTTCTGTCTAGCATTATATGAGGAAATCCCGTTTCCAACGAAGGGCTCATAGAGGGACAATTATCCACCTGCAGACTTACAAAGAGTGCATTTCCAAACTGCTCGATTAAAGAAAGGTTAAACTCTGTGAGTTGAACACACACATCACAAAGTGTTTTCTGAGAATGATTTTGTCTAGTTTTAATACGAAGATATATCCTTTTCTATCACTGTCTTCGAAGCGTTTGAAATCTGCACTAGCAAATTCCACAGAAAGAGTGTTTCAACTCTGCTCTCTCTCAAGGAAGGTTCAACTCTGTGAGTGGAATACACACAACACAAAGAAGTTACAGAGAATTCTTCTGTCTAGCGTTATATGAAGAAATCCCGTTTCCAACGAAGGCCTCAAAGAGGTCCAAATATCCACTTGCAGACTTTACAAATAGAGTGTTTCCAAACTGCTCTATGAAAAGAAAGCTTAAACTCTGTGAGTTGAAGGCACACATCACAAACTAGTTTCTGCGAATGACTCTGTGTACTTTTAATACGAAGATGTTTCCATGTCTAAGATTGGCGTGAATTCGCTTGAAATCTCCACTTGCAAATTCCACAAAAAGAGTGTTTCAAAACTGCTCTGAATAAAGGAAGGTTCCACTCTGTGAGTTGAATACACACAACACAAAGGATTTACTGAGAATTCTTCTGTCTAGCAGTAAATGAAAAAATCCCGCTTCCAACGAACTCCTCAAAGGGGTCCAAGTAATCACTTGCAGACTTTACAGACAGAGTCTTTCCAAACTGCTCTATGAAAAGAAAGGTGGAACTCTGTGAGCTGAACGCACACATAACAAAGCAGTTTCTGAGAATGATTTCTGTGTAGTTTTTACACGAAGAATATTTCCATTTCAAAGATTAGCCTCAAATCGCTTGAAATCTCCACTTGCAAATTCCACAGAAAGAATTTTTCAAAACTGCTCTGTCTAAAGGAAGGTTCAACTCTGTGACTTCAATACAAACAACACAAAGAAGTGACTGAGAATTCTTCTGTCTAGCATTATATGAAGAAATCCCGTTTCCAACGAAGGCCTCAATGAAGTCCAAAAAAGCACTTGCAGGCTTTACAAACAGAGTGTTTCCAAACTGCTCTATGAAAAGAAAGGTTAAACTCTGTGAGTTGAACGCACACATCACAAAGTAGTTGTTGAGAATGATTCTGTGTAGTTTTTATACGAAGATATTTCCTTTTCTGCCATAGGCCTAGAATCGCTTGAAATCTGCACTTGCAAATTCCAAAAACAGAGTGTTTCAACTCTGCTCTCTCTAAAGAAAGGTTCAACTCTGTGAGTTGAATACACACAACACAAAGAAGTTACTGAGAATTCTTCTGTCTAGCGTTGTATGAAGAAATCCCGTTTCCAACGAAGGCCTCAAAGAGGTCCAAATATCCACTTGCAGACTTTACAAATAGAGTGTTTCCAAACTGCTCTATGAAAAGAAAGGTTAAACTCTGTGAGTTGAAGGCACACATCACAAACTAGTTTCTACGAATGACTCTGTGTACTTTTAATATGAAGATATTTCCATGTCTAAGATTGGCGTCAAATCGCTTGAAATCTCCACTTGCAAATTCCACAAAAAGTGTTTTTCAAAACTGCTCTGAATAAAGGAAGGTTCCACTCTGTGAGTTGAATACACACAACACAAAGGATTTACTGAGAATTCTTCTGTCTAGCAGTAAATGAAAAAATCCCGCTTCCAACGAAGTCCTCAAAGGGGTCCAAGTAATCACTTGCAGACTTTACAAACAGAGTCTTTCCAAACTGCTCTATGAAAAGAAAGGTGGAACTCTGTGAGCTGAACGCACACATAACAAAGCAGTTTCTGAGAATGATTCTGTGTAGTTTTTACACGAAGATATTTCCATTTCAAAGATTAGCCTCAAATCGCTTGAAATCTCCACTTGCAAATTCCACAGAAAGAGTTTTTCAAAACTGCTCTGTGTAAAGGAAGGTTCAACTCTGTGACTTGAATACACACAACACAAAGAAGTGACTGAGAATTCTTCTGTCTAGCATTATATGAAGAAATCCCGTTTCCAACGAAGGCCTCAAAGAAGTCCAAATAAGCACCTGCAGACTTAACAAACAGAGTGTTTCCAAACTGCTCTATGAAAAGAAAGGTTAAACTCTGTGAGTTGAACGCACACATCACAAAGTAGTTGTTGAGAATGATTCTGTGTAGTTTTTCTACGAAGATATTTCCTTTTCTGCCATAGGCCTAGAAGCGCTTGAGATCTGCACTTGCAAATTCCAAAAACAGAGTGTTTCAAATCTGCTCTCTCTAAAGGAAGGTTCAAATCTGTGAGTTGAATACAAACAACACAAAGAAGTTACTGAGAATTCTTCTGTCTAGCATTATATGAGGAAATCCCGTTTCCAACGAAGGGCTCAAAGAGGGCCAATTATCCACCTGCAGACTTACAAAGAGTGTATTTCCAAACTGCTCGATTAAAGAAAGGTTAAACTCTGTGAGTTGAACACACACATCACAAAGTGTTTTCTGAGAATGATTTTGTCTAGTTTTAATATGAAGATATATCCTTTGCTATCACTGTCTTCGAAGCGTTTGAAATCTGCACTAGCAAATTCCACAAAAAGAGTTTTTCAACTCTGCTCTCTCTAAAGAAAAGTTGAACTCTGTGAGTTGAATACACACAACACAAAGAAGTTACTGAAAATTCTTCTGTCTAGCGGTTATATGAAGAAATCCCTTTTCCAACGATGGCCTCAAAGAGGTCCAAATATCCACTTGCAGACTTTACAAATAGAGTGTTTCCGAACTGCTCTATGAAAAGAAAGGTTAAACTCTGTGAGTTGAAGGCACACATCACAAACTAGTTTCTACGAATGATTCTGTGTACTTTTAATATGAAGATATTTCCATGTCTAAGATTGGCGTCAAATCGCTTGAAATCTCCACTTGCAAATTCCACAAAAAGAGTGTTTCAAAACTGCTCTGAATAAAGGAAGGTTCCACTCTGTGAGTTGAATACACACAACACAAAGGATTTACTGAGAATTCTTCTGTCTAGCAGTAAATGAAAAAATCCCGCTTCCAACGAAGTCCTCAAAGAGGTCCAAGTAATCACTTGCAGACTTTACAGACAGAGTCTTTCCAAACTGCTCTATGAAAAGAAAGGTGGAACTCTGTGAGCTGAACGCACACATAACAAAGCAGTTTCTGAGAATGATTCTGTGTAATTTTTACACGAAGATATTTCCATTTCAAAGATTAGCCTCAAATCGCTTGAAATCTCCACTTGCAAATTCCACAGAAAGAGTTTTTCAAAACTGCTCTGTGTAAAGGAAGGTTCAACTCTGTGACTTGAATACACACAACACAAAGACGTGACTGAAAATTCTTCTGTCTAGCATTATAAGAGGAAATCCCGTTTCCAACGAAGGGCTCATAGAGGGACAATTATCCAGCTGCAGACTTACAAAGAGTGTATTTCCAAACTGCTCGATTAAAGAAAGGTTAAACTCTGTGAGTTGAACACACACATCACAAAGTGTTTTCTGAGAATGATTTCGATTAGTTTTAATACGAAGATATATCCTTTTCTATCACTGTCTTCGAAGCGTTTGAAATCTGCACTAGCAAATTCCACAAAAAGAGTGTTTCAACTCTGCTCTCTCTCAAGAAAGATTCAACTCTGTGAGTTGAATACACACAACAAAAAGAAGTTACTGAGAATTCTTCTGTCTAGCGTTATATGAAGAAATCCCGTTTCCAACGAAGGCCTCAAAGAGGTCCAAATATCCACTTGCAGACTTTACAAATAGAGTGTTTCCAAACTGCTCTATGAAAAGAAAGGTTAAACTCCGTGAGTTGAAGGCACACATCACAAACTAGTTTCTGCGAATGACTCTGTGTACTTTTAATACGAAGATGTTTCCATGTCTAAGATTGGCGTGAATTCGCTTGAAATCTCCACTTGCAAATTCCACAAAAAGAGTGTTTCAAAACTGCTCTGAATAAAGGAAGGTTCCACTCTGTGAGTTGAATACACACAACACAAAGGATTTACTGAGAATTCTTCTGTCTAGCAGTAAATGAGAAATCCCGCTTTCAACGAAGGCCTCAAAGGGGTCTAACTAATCACTTGCAGACTTTACAGACAGAGTCTTTCCAAACTGCTCTATGAAGAGAAAGGTGAAACTCTGTGAACTGAACGCACTGATGACAAAGCAGTTTCTGAGAATGATTCTGTGTAGTTTTTACACGAAGATATTTCCATTTCAAAGATTAGCCTCAAATCGCTTGAAATCTCCACTTGCAAACTCCACAGAAAGAATTTTTCAAAACTGCTCTGTCTAAAGGAAGGTTCAACTCTGTGACTTGAATACACACAACACAAAGAAGTGACTGAGAATTCTTCTGTCTAGCATTATATGAAGAAATCCCGTTTCCAACGAAGGCCTCAATGAAGTCCAAAAAAGCACTTGCAGGCTTTACAAACAGAGTGTTTCCAAACTGCTCTATGAAAAGAAAGGTTAAACTCTGTGAGTTGAACGCACACATCACAAAGTAGTTGTTGAGAATGATTCTGTGTAGTTTTTATACGAAGATATTTCCTTTTCTGCCATAGGCCTAGAAGCGCTTGAAATCTGCACTTGCAAATTCCAAAAACAGAGTGTTTCAAACCTGCTCTCTCTAAAGGAAGGTTCAAATCTGTGAGTTGAATACAAACAACACAAAGAAGTTACTGAGAATTCTTCTGTCTAGCATTATATGAGGAAATCCCGTTTCCAACGAAGGGCTCAAAGAGGGCCAATTATCCACCTGCAGACTTACAAAGAGTGTATTTCCAAACTGCTCGATTAAAGAAAGGTTAAACTCTGTGAGTTGAACACACACATCACAAAGAGTTTTCTGAGAATGATTCTGTGTAGTTTTTATACGAAGATATTTCCTTTTCTGCCATAGGCCTAGAATCGCTTGAAATCTGCACTTGCAAATTCCAAAAACAGAGTGTTTCAACTCTGCTCTCTCTAAAGAAAGGTTCAACTCTGTGAGTTGAATACACACAACACAAAGAAGTTACTGAGAATTCTTCTGTCTAGCGTTGTATGAAGAAATTCCTTTTCCAACGAAGGCCTCAAAGAGGTCCAAATATCCACTTGCAGACTTTACAAATAGAGTGTTTCCAAACTGCTCTATGAAGAGAAAGGTTAAACTCTGTGAGTTGAAGGCACACATCACAAACTAGTTTCTACGAATGACTCTGTGTACTTTTAATATGAAGATATTTCCATGTCTAAGATTGGCGTCAAATCGCTTGAAATCTCCACTTGCAAATTCCACAAAAAGAGTGTTTCAAAACTGCTCTGAATAAAGGAAGGTTCCACTCTGTGAGTTGAATACACACAACACAAAGGATTTACTGAGAATTCTTCTGTCTAGCAGTAAATGAGAAATCCCGCTTCCAACGAAGGCCTCAAAGGGGTCTAACTAATCACTTGCAGACTTTACAGACAGAGTCTTTCCAAACTGCTCTATGAAGAGAAAGGTGAAACTCTGTGAACTGAACGCACAGATGACAAAGCAGTTTCTGAGAATGATTCTGTGTAGTTTTTATACGAAGATATTTCCTTTTCTGCCATAGGCCTAGAAGCGCTTGCAATCTGCACTTGCAAATTCCAAAAACAGAGTGTTTCAAATCTGCTCTCTCTAAAGGAAGCTTCAAATCTGTGAGTTGAATACAAACAACACAAAGAAGTTACTGAGAATTCTTCTGTCTAGCATTATATGAGGAAATCCCTTTTCCAACGAAGGGCTCATAGAGGGACAATTATCCAGCTGCAGACTTACAAAGAGTGTATTTCCAAACTGCTCGATTAAAGAAAGGTTAAACTCTGTGAGTTGAACACACACATCACAAAGTGTTTTCTGAGAATGATTTTGTCTAGTTTTAATACGAAGATATATCCTTTTCTATCACTGTCTTCGAAGCGTTTGAAATCTGCACTAGCAAATTCCACAAACAGAGTGTTTCAACTCTGCTCTCTCTCAAGAAAGGTTCAACTCTGTGAGTGGAATACAAACAACACAAAGAAGTTACTGAGAATTCTTCTGTCTAGCGTTATATGAAGAAATCCCGTTTCCAACGAAGGCCTCAAAGAGGTCCAAATATCCACTTGCAGACTTTACAAATAGAGTGTTTCCAAACTGCTCTATGAAAAGAAAGGTTAAACTCTGTGAGTTGAAGGCACACATCACAAACCAGTTTCTGCGAATGACTCTGTGTACTTTTAATACGAAGATGTTTCCATGTCTAAGATTGGCGTGAATTCGCTTGAAATCTCCACTTGCAAATTCCACAAAAAGAGTGTTTCAAAACTGCTCTGAATAAAGGAAGGTTCCACTCTGTGAGTTGAATACACACAACACAAAGGATTTACTGAGAATTCTTCTGTCTAGCAGTAAATGAAAAAATCCCGCTTCCAACGAAGTCCTCAAAGGGGTCCAAGTAATCACTTGCAGACTTTACAGACAGAGTCTTTCCAAACTGCTCTATGAAAAGAAAGGTGGAACTCTGTGAGCTGAACGCACACATAACAAAGCAGTTTCTGAGAATGATTCTGTGTAGTTTTTACACGAAGATATTTCCATTTCAAAGATTAGCCTCAAATCGCTTGAAATCTCCACTTGCAAATTCCACAGAAAGAGTTTTTCAAAACTGCTCTGTGTAAAGGAAGGTTCAACTCTGTGACTTGAATACACACAACACAAAGAAGTGACTGAGAATTCTTCTGTCTAGCATTATATGAGGAAATCCCGTTTCCAACGAAGGGCTCATAGAGGGACAATTATCCACCTGCAGACTTACAAAGAGTGTATTTCCAAACTGCTCGATTAAAGAAAGGTTAAACTCTGTGAGTTGAACACACACATCACAAAGTGTTTTCTGAGAATGATTTTGTCTAGTTTTAATACGAAGATATATCCTTTTCTATCACTGTCTTCGAAGCGTTTGAAATCTGCACTAGCAAATTCCACAAAAAGAGTGTTTCCACTCTGCTCTCTCTCAAGAAAGGTTCAACTCTGTGAGTGGAATACACACAACACAAAGAAGTTACTGAGAATTCTTCTGTCTAGCGTTATATGAAGAAATCCCGTTTCCAACGAAGGCCTCAAAGAGGTCCAAATATCTACTTGCAGACTTTAGAAATAGAGTGTTTCTAAACTGCTCTATGAAAAGAAAGGTTAAACTCTGTGAGTTGAAGGCACACTTTACAAACTAGTTTCTAAGAATGACTCTGTGTACTTTTAATATGAAGATATTTCCACGTCTAAGATTGGCGTCAAATCGCTTGAAATCTCCACTTGCAAATTCCACAAAAAGTGTTTTTCAAAACTTCTCTGAATAAAGGAAGGCTCAACTCTGTGAGTTGAATACACACAACACCAAGGATTTACTGAGAATTCTTCTGTCTAGCAGTAAATGAGAAATCCCGCTTCCAACGAAGGCCTCAAAGGGGTCTAACTAATCACTTGCAGACTTTACAGACAGAGTCTTTCCAAACTGCTCTATGAAGAGAAAAGTGAAACTCTGTGAACTGAACGCACAGATAACAAAGCAGTTTCTGAGAATGATTCTGTGCAGTTTTTATAAGAAGATATTTCCATTTCAAAGATTAGCCTCAAATCGCTTGAAATCTCCACTTGCAAATTCCACAGAAAGAGTTTTTCAAAACTGCTCTGTGTAAAGGAAGGTTCAACTCTGTGACTTGAATACACACAACACAAAGAAGTGACTGAGAATTCTTCTGTCTAGCATTGTATGAAGAAATCCCGTTTCCAACGAAGGCCTCAAAGAAGTCCAAATAAGCGCCTGCAGACTTTACAAACAGAGTGTTTCCAAACTGCTCTATGAAAAGAAAGGTTAAACTCTGTGAGTTGAACGCACACATCACAAAGTAGTTGTTGAGAATGATTCTGTGTAGTTTTTACACGAAGATATTTCCATTTCAAAGATTAGCCTCAAATCGCTTGACATCTCCACTTGCAAATTACACAGAAAGAGTTTTTCAAAACTGCTCTGTGTAATGGAAGGTTCAACTCTGTGACTTGAATACACACAACACAAAGAAGTGACTGAGAATTCTTCTGTCTAGCATTATATGAAGAAATCCCGTTTCCAACGAAGGCCTCAAAGAAGTCCAAATAAGCACCTGCAGACTTTACAAACAGAGTGTTTCCAAACTGCTCTATGAAAAGAAAGGTTAAACTCTGTGAGTTGAACGCACACATCACAAAGTAGTTGTTGAGAATGATTCTGTGTAGTTTTTATACGAAGATATTTAATTTTCTGCCATAGGCCTAGAAGCGCTTGCAATCTGCACTTGCAAATTCCAAAAACAGAGTGTTTCAAATTTGCTCTCTCTAAAGGAAGGTTCAAATCTGTGAGTTGAATACAAACAACACAAAGAAGTTACTGAGAATTCTTCTGTCTAGCATTATAAGAGGAAATCCCGTTTCCAACGAAGGGCTCATAGAGGGACAATTATCCAGCTGCAGACTTACAAAGAGTGTATTTCCAAACTGCTCGATTAAAGAAAGGTTAAACTCTGTGAGTTGAACACACACATCACAAAGTGTTTTCTGAGAATGATTTTGTCTAGTTTTAATACGAAGATATATCCTTTTCTATCACTGTCTTCGAAGCGTTTGAAATCTGCACTAGCAAATTCCACAAACAGAGTGTTTCAACTCTGCTCTCTCTCAAGAAAGGTTCAACTCTGTGAGTGGAATACACACAACACAAAGAAGTTACTGAGAATTCCTTCTGTCTAGCGTTATATGAAGAAATCCCGTTTCCAACGAAGGCCGCAAAGACGTCCAAATATCCACTTGCAGACTTTACAAATAGAGTGTTTCCAAACTGCTCTATGAAAAGAAAGGTTAAACTCTGTGAGTTGAAGGCACACATCACAAACTAGTTTCTGCGAATGACTCTGTGTACTTTTAATACGAAGATGTTTCCATGTCTAAGATTGGCGTGAATTCGCTTGAAATCTCCACTTGCAAATTCCACAAAAAGAGTGTTTCAAAACTGCTCTGAATAAAGGAAGGTTCCACTCTGTGAGTTGAATACACACAACACAAAGGATTTACTGAGAATTCTTCTGTCTAGCAGTAAATGAAAAAATCCCGCTTCCAACGAAGTCCTCAAAGGGGTCCAAGTAATCACTTGCAGACTTTACAGACAGAGTCTTTCCAAACTGCTCTATGAAAAGAAAGGTGGAACTCTGTGAGCTGAACGCACACATAACAAAGCAGTTTCTGACAATGATTCTGTGTAGTTTTTACACGAAGATATTTCCATTTCAAAGATTAGCCTCAAATCGCTTGAAATCTCCACTTGCAAATTCCACAGAAAGAGTTTTTCAAAACTGCTCTGTGTAAAGGAAGGTTCAACTCTGTGACTTGAATACACACAACACAAAGAAGTGACTGAGAATTCTTCTGTCTAGCATTATATGAAGAAATCCCGTTTCCAACGAAGGCCTCAAAGAAGTCCAAATAAGCACCTGCAGACTTTACAAACAGAGTGTTTCCAAACTGCTCTATGAAAAGAAAGGTTAAACTCTGTGAGTTGAACGCACACATCACAAAGTAGTTGTTGAGAATGATTCTGTGTAGTTTTTATACGAAGATATTTCCTTTTCTGCCATAGGCCTAGAAGTGCTTGAAATCTGCACTTGCAAATTCCAAAAACAGAGTGTTTCAAATCTGCTCTCTCTAAAGGAAGGTTCAAATCTGTGTGTTGAATACAAACAACACAGAGAAGTTACTGAGAATTCTTCTGTCTAGCGTTATACGAAGAAATCCCTTTTCCAACGAAGGCCTCAAAGAGGTCCAAATATCCACTTGCAGACTTTACAAATAGAGTGTTTCCGAACTGCTCTATGAAAAGAAAGGTTAAACTCTGTGAGTTGAAGGCACACATCACAAACTAGTTTCTACGAATGATTCTGTGTACTTTTAATATGAAGATATTTCCATGTCTAAGATTGGCGTCAAATCGCTTGAAATCTCCACTTGCAAATTCCACAAAAAGAGTGTTTCAAAACTGCTCTGTCTAAAGGAAGGTTCAACTCTGTGACTTGAATACACACAACACAAAGAAGTGACTGAGAATTCTTCTGTCTAGCATTATATGAAGAAATCCCGTTTCCAACGAAGGCCTCAATGAAGTCGAAAAAGGCACTGGCAGGCTTTACAAGCAGAGTGTTTCCAAACTGCTCTATGAAAAGAAAGGTTAAACTTTGTGAGTGGAGCGCACACATCACAAAGTAGTTGTTGAGAATGATTCTGTGTAGTTTTTATACGAAGATATTTCCTTTTCTGCCATAGGCCTGGAATCGCTTGAAATCTGCCCTTGCAAATTCCAAAAACAGAGAGTTTCAACTCTGCTCTCTCTAAAGAAAGGTTCAACTCTGTGAGTTGAATACACACAACACAAAGAAGTTACTGAGAATTCTTCTGTCTAGCGTTGTATGAAGAAATCCCGTTTCCAACGAAGGCCTCAAAGAGGTCCAAATATCCACTTGCAGACTTTACAAATAGAGTGTTTCCAAACTGCTCTATGAAAAGAAAGGTTAAACTCTGTGAGTTGAAGGCACACATCACAAACTAGTTTCTACGAATGACTCTGTGTACTTTTAATATGAAGACATTTCCATGTCTAAGATTGGCGTCAAATCGCTTGAAATCTCCACTTGCAAATTCCACAAAAAGTGTTTTTCAAAACTGCTCTGAATAAAGGAAGGTTCCACTCTGTGAGTTGAATACACACAACACAAAGGATTTACTGAGAATTCTTCTGTCTAGCAGTAAATGAGAAATCCCGCTTCCAACGAAGGCCTCAAAGGGGTCTAACTAATCACTTGCAGACTTTACAGACAGAGTCTTTCCAAACTGCTCTATGAAGAGAAAGGTGAAACTCTGTGAACTGAACGCACAGATGACAAAGCAGTTTCTGAGAATGATTCTGTGTAGTTTTTACACGAAGATATTTCCATTTCAAAGATTAGCCTCAAATCGCTTGAAATCTCCACTTGCAAATTACACAGAAAGAATTTTTCAAAACTGCTCTGTCTAAAGGAAGGTTCAACTCTGTGACTTGAATACACACAACACAAAGAAGTTACTGAGAATTCTTCTGTCTAGCATTATATGAAGAAATCCCGTTTCCAATGAAGGCCTCAAAGAAGTCCAAATAAGCACCTGCAGACTTTACAAACAGAGTGTTTCCAAACTGCTCTATGAAAAGAAAGGTTAAACTCTGTGAGTTGAACGCACACATCACAAACTAGTTTCTGCGAATGACTCTGTGTACTTTTAATACGAAGATGTTTCCATGTCTAAGATTGGCGTGAATTCGCTTGAAATCTCCACTTGCAAATTCCACAAAAAGAGTGTTTCAAAACTGCTCTGAATAAAGGAAGGTTCCACTCTGTGAGTTGAATACACACAACACAAAGGATTTACTGAGAATTCTTCTGTCTAGCAGTAAATGAAAAAATCCCGCTTCCAACGAAGTCCTCAAAGGGGTCCAAGTAATCACTTGCAGACTTTACAGACAGAGTCTTTCCAAACTGCTCTATGAAAAGAAAGGTGGAACTCTGTGAGCTGAACGCACACATAACAAAGCAGTTTCTGACAATGATTCTGTGTAGTTTTTACACGAAGATATTTCCATTTCAAAGATTAGCCTCAAATCGCTTGAAATCTCCACTTGCAAATTCCACAGAAAGAGTTTTTCAAAACTGCTCTGTGTAAAGGAAGGTTCAACTCTGTGACTTGAATACACACAACACAAAGAAGTGACTGAGAATTCTTCTGTCTAGCATTATATGAGGAAATCCCGTTTCCAACGAAGGGCTCATAGAGGGACAATTATCCAGCTGCAGACTTACAAAGAGTGTATTTCCAAACTGCTCGATTAAAGAAAGGTTAAACTCTGTGAGTTGAACACACACATCACAAAGTGTTTTCTGAGAATGATTTTGTCTAGTTTTAATACGAAGATATATCCTTTTCTATCACTGTCTTCGAAGCGTTTGAAATCTGCACTAGCAAATTCCACAAACAGAGTGTTTCAACTCTGCTCTCTCTCAAGAAAGGTTCAACTCTGTGAGTGGAATACACACAACACAAAGAAGTTACTGAGAATTCTTCTGTCTAGCGTTATATGAAGAAATCCCGTTTCCAACGAAGGCCTCAAAGAGGTCCAAATATCCACTTGCAGACTTTACAAATAGAGTGTTTCCAAACTGCTCTATGAAAAGAAAGGTTAAACTCTGTGAGTTGAAGGCACACATCACAAACTAGTTTCTGCGAATGACTCTGTGTACTTTTAATACGAAGATGTTTCCATGTCTAAGATTGGCGTGAATTCGCTTGAAATCTCCACTTGCAAATTCCACAAAAAGAGTGTTTCAAAACTGCTCTGAATAAAGGAAGGTTCCACTCTGTGAGTTGAATACACACAACACAAAGGATTTACTGAGAATTCTTCTGTCTAGCAGTAAATGAAAAAATCCCGCTTCCAACGAAGTCCTCAAAGGGGTCCAAGTAATCACTTGCAGACTTTACAGACAGAGTCTTTCCAAACTGCTCTATGAAAAGAAAGGTGGAACTCTGTGAGCTGAACGCACACATAACAAAGCAGTTTCTGAGAATGATTCTGTGTAGATTTTACACGAAGATATTTCCATTTCAAAGATTAGCCTCAAATCGCTTGAAATCTCCACTTGCAAATTCCACAGAAAGAGGTTTTCAAAACTGCTCTGTGTAAAGGAAGGTTCAACTCTGTGACTTGAATACACACAACACAAAGAAGTGACTGAGAATTCTTCTGTCTAGCATTATATGAAGAAATCCCGTTTCCAACGAAGGCCTCAAAGAAGTCCAAATAAGCACCTGCAGACTTTACAAACAGAGTTTTTCCAAACTGCTCTATGAAAAGAAAGGTTAAACTTCTGTGAGAATTGGAACGCACACATCACAAAGTAGTTGTTGAGAATGATTTTGTCTAGTTTTAATACGAAGATATATCCTTTTCTATCACTGTCTTCGAAGCTTTTGAAATCTGCACTAGCAAATTCCACAAGAAGAGTGTTTCAACTCTGCTCTCTCTAAAGAAAGGTTCAACTCGGTGAGTTGAATACACACAACACAAAGAAGTTACTGAGAATTCTTCTGTCTAGCATTATATGAGGAAATCCCGTTTCCAACGAAGGGCTCATAGAGGGACAATTATCCAGCTGCAGACTTACAAAGAGTGTATTTCCAAACTGCTCGATTAAAGAAAGGTTAAACTCTGTGAGTTGAACACACACATCACAAAGTGTTTTCTGAGAATGATTTTGTCTAGTTTTAATACGAAGATATATCCTTTTCTATCACTGTCTTCGAAGCGTTTGAAATCTGCACTAGCAAATTCCACAAACAGAGTGTTTCAACTCTGCTCTCTCTCAAGAAAGTTTCAACTCTGTGAGTGGAATACACACAACACAAAGAAGTTACTGAGAATTCTTCTGTCTAGCGTTATATGAAGAAATCCCGTTTCCAACGAAGGCCTCAAAGAGGTCCAAATATCCACTTGCAGACTTTACAAATAGAGTGTTTCCAAACTGCTCTATGAAAAGAAAGGTTAAACTCTGTGAGTTGAAGGCACACATCACAAACTAGTTTCTGCGAATGACTCTGTGTACTTTTAATACGAAGATGTTTCCATGTCTAAGATTGGCGTGAATTCGCTTGAAATCTCCACTTGCAAATTCCACAAAAAGAGTGTTTCAAAACTGCTCTGAATAAAGGAAGGTTCCACTCTGTGAGTTGAATACACACAACACAAAGGATTTACTGAGAATTCTTCTGTCTAGCAGTAAATGAAAAAATCCCGCTTCCAACGAAGTCCTCAAAGGGGTCCAAGTAATCACTTGCAGACTTTACAGACAGAGTCTTTCCAAACTGCTCTATGAAAAGAAAGGTGGAACTCTGTGAGCTGAACGCACACATAACAAAGCAGTTTCTGAGAATGATTCTGTGTAGTTTTTACACGAAGATATTTCCATTTCAAAGATTAGCCTCAAATCGCTTGAAATCTCCACTTGCAAATTCCACAGAAAGAGTTTTTCAAAACTGCTCTGTGTAAAGGAAGGTTCAACTCTGTGACTTGAATACACACAACACAAAGAAGTGACTGAGAATTCTTCTGTCTAGCATTATATGAAGAAATCCCGTTTCCAACGAAGGCCTCAATGAAGTCCAAAAAAGCACTTGCAGGCTTTACAAACAGAGTGTTTCCAAACTGCTCTATGAAAAGAAAGGTTAACCTCTGTGAGTTGAACGCACCCATCACAAAGTAGTTGTTGAGAATGATTCTGTGTAGTTTTTATACGAAGATATTTCCTTTTCTGCCATAGGCCTAGAAAGCGCTTGAAATCTGCACTTGCAAATTCCAAAAACAGAGTGTTTCAAATCTGCTCTCTCTAAAGGAAGGTTCAAATCTGTGTGTTGAATACAAACAACACAAAGAAGTTACTGAGAATTCTTCTGTCTAGCATTATATGAGGAAATCCCGTTTCCAACGAAGGGCTCAAAGAGGGCCAAATATCCACCTGCAGACTTACAAAGAGTGTATTTCCAAACTGCTCGATTAAAGAAAGGTTAAACTCTGTGAGTTGAACACACACATCACAAAGAGTTTTCTGAGAATGATTTTGTCTACTTTTAATACGAAGATATATCCTTTTCTATCACTGTCTTCGAAGCGTTTGAAATCTACACTAGCAAATTCCACAAAAAGAGTGTTTCACCTCTGCTCCCTCTAAAGAAAGGTTCAACTCTGTGAGTTGAATACACACAACACAAAGAAGTTACTGAGAATTCTTCTGTCTAGCGTTGTATGAAGAAATCCCGTTTCCAACGAAGGCCTCAAAGAGGTCCAAATATCCACTTGCAGACTTTACAAATAGAGTGTTTCCAAACTGCTCTATGAAAAGAAAGGTTAAACTCTGTGAGTTGAAGGCACACATCACAAACTAGTTTCTACGAATGACTCTGTGTACTTTTAATATGAAGATATTTCCATGTCTAAGATTGGCGTCAAATCGCTTGAAATCTCCACTTGCAAATTCCACAAAAAGAGTGTTTCAAAACTGCTCTGAATAAAGGAAGGTTCCACTCTGTGAGTTGAATACACACAACACAAAGGATTTACTGAGAATTCTTCTGTCTAGCAGTAAATGAGAAATCCCGCTTCCAACGAAGGCCTCAAAGGGGTCTAACTAATCACTTGCAGACTTACAGACAGAGTCTTTCCAAACTGCTCTATGAAGAGAAAGGTGAAACTCTGTGAACTGAACGCACAGATAACAAAGCAGTTTCTGAGAATGATTCTGTGTAGTTTTTACACGAAGATATTTCCATTTCAAAGATTAGCCTCAAATCGCTTGAAATCTCCACTTGCAAATTCCATAGAAAGAATTTTTCAAAACTGCTCTGCTAAAAGAAGGTTCAACTCTGTGACTTGAATACACACAACACAAAGAAGTGACTGAGAATTCTTCTGTCTAGCATTATATGAAGAAATCCCGTTTCCAACGAAGGCCTCAATGAAGTCCAAAAAAGCACTTGCAGGCTTTACAAACAGAGTGTTTCCAAACTGCTCTATGAAAAGAAAGGTTAAACTCTGTGAGTTGAACGCACACATCACAAAGTAGTTGTTGAGAATGATTCTGTGTAGTTTTTATACGAAGATATTTCCTTTTCTGCCATAGGCCTAGAATCGCTTGAAATCTGCACTTGCAAATTCCAAAAACAGAGTGTTTCAACTCTGCTCTCTCTAAAGAAAGGTTCAACTCTGTGAGTTGAATACACACAACACAAAGAAGTAACTGAGAATTCTTCTGTCTAGCGTTGTATGAAGAAATCCCCTTTCCAACGAAGGCCTCAATGAACTCCAAAAAAGCACTTGCAGGCTTTACAAACAGAGTGTTTCCAAACTGCTCTATGAAAAGAAAGGTTAAACTCTGTGAGTTGAACGCACACATCACAAAGTAGTTGTTGAGAATGATTCTGTGTAGTTTTTATACGAAGATATTTCCTTTTCTGCCATAGGCCTAGAAGTGCTTGAAATCTGCACTTGCAAATTCCAAAAACAGAGTGTCTCAAATCTGCTCTCTCTAAAGGAAGGTTCAAATCTGTGTGTTGAATACAAACAACACAGAGAAGTTACTGAGAATTCTTCTGTCTAGCATTATAAGAGGAAATCCCGTTTCCAAAGAAGGGCTCAAAGAGGGCCAAATATCCACCTGCAGACTTACAAAGAGTGTATTTCCAAACTGCTCGATTAAAGAAAGGTTAAACTCTGTGAGTTGAACACACACATCACAAAGAGTTTTCTGAGAATGATTTTGTCTACTCTTAATACGAAGATATATCCTTTTCTATCACTGACTTCGAAGCGTTTGAAATCTACACTAGCAAATTCCACAAAAAGACTGTTTCACCTCTGCTCCCTCTAAAGAAAGGTTCAACTCTGTGAGTTGAATACACACAACACAAAGAAGTTACTGAGAATTCTTCTGTCTAGCGTTATATGAAGAAATCCCGTTTCCAACGAAGGCCTCAAAGAGGTCCAAATATCCACTTGCAGACTTTACAAATAGAGTGTTTCCCAACTGCTCTATGAAAAGAAAGGTTAAACTCTGTGAGTTGAAGGCACACATCACAAACTAGTTTCTACGAATGACTCTGTGTACTTTTAATATGAAGATATTTCCATGTCTAAGATTGGCGTCAAATCGCTTGAAATCTCCACTTGCAAATTCCACAAAAAGAGTGTTTCAAAACTGCTCTGAATAAAGGAAGGTTCCACTCTGTGAGTTGAATACACACAACACAAAGGATTTACTGAGAATTCTTCTGTCTAGCAGTAAATGAGAAATCCCGCTTCCAACGAAGGCCTCAAAGGGGTCTAACTAATCACTTGCAGACTTTACAGACAGAGTCTTTCCAAACTGCTCTATGAAGAGAAAGGTGAAACTACTGTGAACTGAACGCACAGATGACAAAGCAGTTTCTGAGAATGATTCTGTGTAGTTTTTACACGAAGATATTTCCATTTCAAAGATTAGCCTCAAATCGCTTGAAATCTCCACTTGCAAATTCCACAGAAAGAATTTTTCAAAACTGCTCTGTCTAAAGGAAGGTTCAACTCTGTGACTTGAATACACACAACACAAAGAAGTGACTGAGAATTCTTCTGTCTAGCATTATAAGAGGAAATCCCGTTTCCAACGAAGGGCTCATAGAGGGACAATTATCCAGCTGCAGACTTACAAAGAGTGTATTTCCAAACTGCTCGATTAAAGAAAGGTTAAACTCTGTGAGTTGAACGCACACATCACAAAGTGTTTTCTGAGAATGATTTTGTCTAGTTTTAATACGAAGATATATCCTTTTCTATCACTGTCTTCGAAGCGTTTGAAATCTGCACTAGCAAATTCCACAAACAGAGTGTTTCAACTCTGCTCTCTCTCAAGAAAGGTTCAACTCTGTGAGTTGAATACACACAACACAAAGAAGTTACTGAGAATTCTTCTGTCTAGCATTATAAGAGGAAATCCCGTTTCCAAAGAAGGGCTCAAAGAGGGCCAAATATCCACCTGCAGACTTACAAAGAGTGTATTTCCAAACTGCTCGATTAAAGAAAGGTTAAACTCTGTGAGTTGAACACACACATCACAAAGAGTTTTCTGAGAATGAATTTGTCTACTTTTAATACGAAGATATATCCTTTTCTATCACTGTCTTCGAAGCGTTTGAAATCTACACTAGCAAATTCCACAAAAAGAGTGTTTCACCTCTGCTCCCTCTAAAGAAAGGTTCAACTCTGTGAGTTGAATACACACAACACAAAGAAGTTACTGAGAATTCTTCTGTCTAGCGTTATATGAAGAAATCCCGTTTCCAACGAAGGCCTCAAAGAGGTCCAAATATCCACTTGCAGACTTTACAAATAGAGTGTTTCCCAACTGCTCTATGAAAAGAAAGGTTAAACTCTGTGAGTTGAAGGCACACATCACAAACTAGTTTCTACGAATGACTCTGTGTACTTTTAATATGAAGATATTTCCATGTCTAAGATTGGCGTCAAATCGCTTGAAATCTCCACTTGCAAATTCCACAAAAAGAGTGTTTCAAAACTGCTCTGAATAAAGGAAGGTTCCACTCTGTGAGTTGAATACACACAACACAAAGGATTTACTGAGAATTCTTCTGTCTAGCAGTAAATGAGAAATCCCGCTTCCAACGAAGGCCTCAAAGGGGTCTAACTAATCACTTGCAGACTTTACAGACAGAGTCTTTCCAAACTGCTCTATGAAGAGAAAGGTGAAACTCTGTGAACTGAACGCACAGATGACAAAGCAGTTTCTGAGAATGATTCTGTGTAGTTTTTACACGAAGCTATTTCCATTCCAAAGATTAGCCTCAAATCGCTTGAAATCTCCACTTGCAAATTCCACAGAAAGAGTTTTTCAAAACTGCTCTGTGTAAAGGAAGGTTCAACTCTGTGACTTGAATACACACAACACAAAGAAGTGACTGAGAATTCTTCTGTCTAGCATTATAAGAGGAAATCCCGTTTCCAACGAAGGGCTCATAGAGGGACAATTATCCAGCTGCAGACTTACAAAGAGTGTATTTCCAAACTGCTCGATTAAAGAAAGGTTAAACTCTGTGAGTTGAACACACACATCACAAAGTGTTTTCTGAGAATGATTTTGTCTAGTTTTAATACGAAGATATATCCTTTTCTATCACTGTCTTCGAAGCGTTTGAAATCTGCACTAGCAAATTCCACAAACAGAGTGTTTCAACTCTGCTCTCTCTCAAGAAAGGTTCAACTCTGTGAGTTGAATACACACAACACAAAGAAGTTACTGAGAATTCTTCTGTCTAGCGTTATATGAAGAAATCCCGTTTCCAACGAAGGCCACAAAGAGGTCCAAATATCCACTTGCAGACTTTACAAATAGAGTGTTTCCAAACTGCTCTATGAAAAGAAAGGTTAAACTCCGTGAGTTGAAGGCACACATCACAAACTAGTTTCTGCGAATGACTCTGTGTACTTTTAATACGAAGATGTTTCCATGTCTAAGATTGGCGTGAATTCGCTTGAAATCTCCACTTGCAAATTCCACAAAAAGAGTGTTTCAAAAGTGCTCTGAATAAAGGAAGGTTCCACTCTGTGAGTTGAATACACACAACACAAAGGATTTACTGAGAATTCTTCTGTCTAGCAGTAAATGAAAAAATCCCGCTTCCAACGAAGTCCTCAAAGGGGTCCAAGTAATCACTTGCAGACTTTACAGACAGAGTCTTTCCAAACTGCTCTATGAAAAGAAAGGTGGAACTCTGTGAGCTGAACGCACACATAACAAAGCAGTTTCTGAGAATGATTCTGTGTAGTTTTTACACGAAGATATTTCCATTTCAAAGATTAGCCTCAAATCGCTTGAAATCTCCACTTGCAAATTCCACAGAAAGAGTTTTTCAAAACTGCTCTGTGTAAAGGAAGGTTCAACTCTGTGACTTGAATACACACAACACAAAGAAGTGACTGAGAATTCTTCTGTCTAGCATTATATGAAGAAATCCCGTTTCCAACGAAGGCCTCAAAGAAGTCCAAATAAGCACCTGCAGACTTTACAAACAGAGTGTTTCCAAACTGCTCTATGAAAAGAAAGGTTAAACTCTGTGAGTTGAACGCACACATCACAAAGTAGTTGTTGAGAATGATTCTGTGTAGTTTTTATACGAAGATATTTCCTTTTCTGCCATAGGCCTAGAAGCGCTTGCAATCTGCACTTACAATTTCCAAAAACAGAGTGTTTCAAATCTCCTCTCTCTAAAGGAAAGTTCAAATCTGTGAGTTGAATACAAACAACACAAAGAAGTTACTGAGAATTCTTCTGTCTAGCATTATATGAGGAAATCCCGTTTCCAACGAAGGGCTCATAGAGGGACAATTATCCACCTGCAGACTTACAAAGAGTGTATTTCCAAACTGCTCGATTACAGAAAGGTTAAACTCTGTGAGTTGAACACACACATCACAAAGTGTTTTCTGAGAATGATTTTGTCTAGTTTTAATACGAAGATATATCCTTTTCTATCACTGTCTTCGAAGCGTTTGAAATCTGCACTAGCAAATTCCACAGAAAGAGTGTTTCAACTCTGCTCTCTCTCAAGAAAGGTTCAACTCTGTGAGTGGAATACACACAACACAAAGAAGTTACAGAGAATTCTTCTGTCTAGCGTTATATGAAGAAATCCCGTTTCCAACGAAGGCCTCAAAGAGGTCCAAATATCCACTTGCAGACTTTACAAATAGAGTGTTTCCAAACTGCTCTATGAAAAGAAAGCTTAAACTCTGTGAGTTGAAGGCACACATCACAAACTAGTTTCTGCGAATGACTCTGTGCAGTTTTTACACGAAGATATTTCCATTTCAAAGATTAGCCTCAAATCGCTTGAAATCTCCACTTGCAAATTCCACAAAAATAGTGTTTCAAAACTGCTCTGAATAAAGGAAGGTTCAACTCTGTGAGTTGAATACACCCAACACAAAGGATTTAATGAGAATTCTTCTGTCTAGCAGTAAATGAAAAAATCCCGCTTCCAACGAAGTCCTCAAAGGGGTCCAAGTAATCACTTGCAGACTTTACAGACAGAGTCTTTCCAAACTGCTCTATGAAAAGAAAGGTGGAACTCTGCGAGCTGAACGCACACATAACAAAGCAGTTTCTGAGAATGATTCTGTGTAGTTTTTACACGAAGATATTTCCATTTCAAAGATTAGCCTCAAATCGCTTGAAATCTCCACTTGCAAATTACACAGAAAGAATTTTTCAAAACTGCTCTGTCTAAAGGAAGGTTCAACTCTGTGGCTTGAATACACACAACACAAAGAAGTGACTGAGAATTCTTCTGTCTAGCATTATATGAAGAAATCCCGTTTCCAACGAAGGCCTCAATGAAGTCCAAAAAAGCACTTGCAGGCTTTACAAACAGAGTGTTTCCAAACTGCTCTATGAAAAGAAAGGTTAAACTCTGTGAGTTGAACGCACACATCACAAAGTAGTTGTTGAGAATGATTCTGTGTAGTTTTTATACGAAGATATTTCCTTTTCTGCCATAGGCCTAGAATCGCTTGAAATCTGCAGTTGCAAATTCCAAAAACAGAGTGTTTCAACTCTGCTCTCTCTAAAGAAAGGTTCAACTCTGTGAGTTGAATACACACAACACAAAGAAGTTACTGAGAATTCTTCTGTCTAGCGTTGTATGAAGAAATCCCGTTTCCAACGAAGGCCTCAAAGAGGTCCAAATATCCACTTGCAGACTTTACAAATAGAGTGTTTCCAAACTGCTCTATGAAAAGAAATGTTAAACTCTGTGAGTTGAAGGCACACATCACAAACTAGTTTCTACGAATGACTCTGTGTACTTTTAATATGAAGATATTTCCATGTCTAAGATTGGCGTCAAATCGCTTGAAATCTCCACTTGCAAATTCCACAAAAAGTGTTTTTCAAAACTGCTCTGAATAAAGGAAGGTTCCACTCTGTGAGTTGAATACACACAACACAAAGGATTTACTGAGAATTCTTCTGTCTAGCAGTAAATGAGAAATCCCGCTTCCAACGAAGGCCTCAAAGGGGTCTAACTAATCACTTGCAGACTTTAAAGACAGAGTCTTTCCAAACTGCTCTATGAAGAGAAAGGTGAAACTCTGTGAACTGAACGCACAGATGACAAAGCAGTTTCTGAGAATGCTTCTGTGTACTTTTTACACGAAGATATTTCCATTTCAAAGATTAGCCTCAAATCGCTTGAAATCTCCACTTGCAAACTCCACAGAAAGAATTTTTCAAAACTGCTCTGTCTAAAGGAAGGTTCAACTCTGTGACTTGAATACACACAACACAAAGAAGTGACTGAGAATTCTTCTGTCTAGCATTATAAGAGGAAATCCCGTTTCCAAGGAAGGGCTCATAGAGGGACAATTATCCAGCTGCAGACTTACAAAGAGTGTATTTCCAAACTGCTCGATTAAAGAAAGGTTAAACTCTGTGAGTTGAACACACACATCACAAAGTGTTTTCTGAGAATGATTTTGTCTAGTTTTAATACGAAGATATATCCTTTTCTATCACTGTCTTCGAAGCGTTTGAAATCTGCACTAGCAAATTCCACAGAAAGAGTGTTTCAACTCTGCTCTCTCTCAAGAAAGGTTCAACTCTGTGAGTGGAATACACACAACACAAAGAAGTTACTGAGAATTCTTCTGTCTAGCGTTATATGAAGAAATCCCGTTTCCAATGAAGGCCTCAAAGAGGTCCAAATATCCACTTGCAGACTTTACAAAGAGAGTGTTTCCAAACTGCTCTATGAAAAGAAAGGTTAAACTCCGTGAGTTGAAGGCACACATCACAAACTAGTTTCTGCGAATGACTCTGTGTACTTTTAATACGAAGATGTTTCCATGTCTAAGATTGGCGTGAATTCGCTTGAAATCTCCACTTGCAATTTCCACAAAAAGAGTGTTTCAAAACTGCTCTGAATAAAGGAAGGTTCCACTCTGTGAGTTGAATACACACAACACAAAGGATTTACTGAGAATTCTTCTGTCCAGCAGTAAATGAAAAAATCCCGCTTCCAACGAAGTCCTCAAAGGGGTCCAAGTAATCACTTGCAGACTTTACAGACAGAGTCTTTCCAAACTGCTCTATGAAAAGAAAGGTGGAACTCTGTGAGCTGAACGCACACATAACAAAGCAGTTTCTGACAATGATTCTGTGTAGTTTTTACACGAAGATATTTCCATTTCAAAGATTAGCCTCAAATCGCTTGAAATCTCCACTTGCAAATTCCACAGAAAGAGTTTTTCAAAACTGCTCTGTGTAAAGGAAGGTTCAACTCTGTGACTTGAATACACACAACACAAAGAAGTGACTGAGAATTCTTCTGTCTAGCATTATATGAAGAAATCCCGTTTCCAACGGAGGCCTCAAAGAAGTCCAAATAAGCACCTGCAGACTTTACAAACAGAGTGTTTCCAAACTGCTCTATGAAAAGAAAGGTTAAACTCTGTGAGTTGAACGCACACATCACAAAGTAGTTGTTGAGAATGATTTTGTCTAGTTTTAATACGAAGATATATCCTTTTCTGTCACTGTCTTCGAAGCGTTTGAAATCTGCACTAGCAAATTCCAGAAACAGAGTGTTTCAACTCTGCTCTCTCTCAAGAAAGGTTCAACTCTGTGAGTGGAATACACACAACACAAAGAAGTTACTGAGAATTCTTCTGTCTAGCGTTATATGAAGAAATCCCGTTTCCAACGAAGGCCTCAAAGAGGTCCAAATATCCACTTGCAGACTTTACAAATAGAGTGTTTCCAAACTGCTCTATGAAAAGAAAGGTTAAACTCTGTGAGTTGAAGGCACACATCACAAACTAGTTTCTGCGAATGACTCTGTGTACTTTTAATACGAAGATGTTTCCATGTCTAAGATTGGCGTGAATTCGCTTGAAATCTCCACTTGCAAATTCCACAAAAAGAGTGTTTCAAAACTGCTCTGAATAAAGGAAGGTTCCACTCTGTGAGTTGAATACACACAACACAAAGGATTTACTGAGAATTCTTCTGTCTAGCAGTAAATGAAAAAATCCCGCTTCCAACGAAGTCCTCAAAGGGGTCCAAGTAATCACTTGCAGACTTTACAGACAGAGTCTTTCCAAACTGCTCTATGAAAAGAAAGGTGGAACTCTGTGAGCTGAACGCACACATAACAAAGCAGTTTCTGACAATGATTCTGTGTAGTTTTTACACGAAGCTATTTCCATTTCAAAGATTAGCCTCAAATCGCTTGAAATCTCCACTTGCAAATTCCACAGAAAGAGTTTTTCAAAACTGCTCTGTGTAAAGGATGGTTCAACTCTGTGACTTGAATACACACAACACAAAGAAGTGACTGAGAATTCTTCTGTCTAGCATTACATGAAGAAATCCCGTTTCCAACGAAGGCCTCAAAGAAGTCCAAATAAGCACCTGCAGACTTTACAAACAGAGTGTTTCCAAACTGCTCTATGAAAAGAAAGGTTAAACTCTGTGAGTTGAACGCACACATCACAAAGTAGTTGTTGAGAATGATTCTGTGTAGTTTTTATACGAAGATATTTCCTTTTCTGCCATAGGCCTAAAAGCGCTTGAAATCTGCACTTGCAAATTCCAAAAACAGAGTGTTTCAAATCTGCTCTCTCTAAAGGAAGGTTCAAATCTGTGTGTTGAATACAAACAACACAGAGAAGTTACTGAGAATTCTTCTGTCTAGCGTTATATGAAGAAATCCCGTTTCCAACGAAGGCCTCAAAGAGGTGCAAATATCCACTTGCAGACTTTACAGATAGAGTGTTTCCAAACTGCTCTATGAAAAGAAAGGTTAAACTCCGTGAGTTGAAGGCACACATCACAAACTAGTTTCTGTGAATGACTCTGTGTACTTTTAATACGAAGATGTTTCCATGTCTAAGATTGGCGTGAATTCGCTTGAAATCTCCACCTGCAAATTCCACAAAAAGAATGTTTCAAAACAGCTGTGAATAGAGGAAGGTTCCACTCTGTGAGTTGAATACACACAACACAAAGGATTTACTGAGAATTCTTCTGTCTAGCAGTAAATGAAAAAATCCCGCTTCCAACGAAGTCCTCAAAGGGGTCCAAGTAATCACTTGCAGACTTTACAGACAGAGTCTTTCCAAACTGCTCTATGAAAAGAAAGGTGGAACTCTGTGAGCTGAACGCACACATAACAAAGCAGTTTCTGACAATGATTCTGTGTAGTTTTTACACGAAGCTATTTCCATTTCAAAGATTAGCCTCAAATCGCTTGAAATCTCCACTTGCAAATTCCACAGAAAGAGTTTTTCAAAACTGCTCTGTGTAAAGGAAGGTTCAACTCTGTGACTTGAATACACACAACACAAAGAAGTGACTGAGAATTCTTCTGTCTAGCATTATATGAGGAAATCCCGTTTCCAACGAAGGGCTCAAAGAGGGCCAAATATCCACCTGCAGACTTACAAAGAGTGTATTTCCAAACCGCTCGATTAAAGAAAGGTTAAACTCTGTGAGTTGAACACACACATCACAAAGAGTTTTCTGAGAATGATTTTGTCTACTTTTAATACGAAGATATATCCTTTTCTATCACTGTCTTCGAAGCGTTTGAAATCTACACTAGCAAATTCCACAAAAAGAGTGTTTCACCTCTGCTCCCTCTAAAGAAAGGTTCAACTCTATGAGTTGAATACACACAACACAAAGAAGTTACTGAGAATTCTTCTGTCTAGCGTTATATGAAGAAATCCCGTTTCCAACGAAGGCCTCAAAGAGGTCCAAATATCCACTTGCAGACTTTACAAATAGAGTGTTTCCCAACTGCTCTATGAAAAGAAAGGTTAAACTCTGTGAGTTGAAGGCACACATCACAAACTAGTTTCTACGAATGACTCTGTGTACTTTTAATATGAAGATATTTCCATGTCTAAGATTGGCGTCAAATCGCTTGAAATCTCCACTTGCAAATTCCACAAAAAGAGTGTTTCAAAACTGCTCTGAATAAAGGAAGGTTCCACTCTGTGAGTTGAATACACACAACACAAAGGATTTACTGAGAATTCTTCTGTCTAGCAGTAAATGAGAAATCCCGCTTCCAACGAAGGCCTCAAAGGGGTCTAACTAATCACTTGCAGACTTTAAAGACAGAGTCTTTCCAAACTGCTCTATGAAGAGAAAGGTGAAACACTGTGAACTGAACGCACAGATGACAAAGCAGTTTCTGAGAATGCTTCTGTGTAGTTTTTACACGAAGATATTTCCATTTCAAAGATTAGCCTCAAATCGCTTGAAATCTCCACTTGCAAACTCCACAGAAAGAATTTTTCAAAACTGCTCTGTCTAAAGGAAGGTTCAACTCTGTGACTTGAACACACACAACACAAAGAAGTGACTGAGAATTCTTCTGTCTAGCATTATATGAGGAAATCCCGTTTCCAACGAAGGGCTCAAAGAGGGCCAAATATCCACCAGCAGACTTACAAAGAGTGTATTTCCAAACTGCTCGATTAAAGAAAGGTTAAACTCTGTGAGTTGAACACACACATCACAAAGAGTTTTCTGAGAATGATTTTGTCTACTTTTAATACGAAGATATATCCTTTTCTATCACTGTCTTCGAAGCGTTGGAAATCTACACTAGCAAATTCCACAAAAAGAGTGTTTCACCTCTGCTCCCTCTAAAGAAAGGTTCAACTCTGTGAGTTGAATACACACAACACAAAGAAGTTACTGAGAATTCTTCTGTCTAGCGTTATATGAAGAAATCCCGTTTCCAACGAAGGCCTCAAAGAGGTCCAAATATCCACTTGCAGACTTTACAAATAGAGTGTTTCCCAACTGCTCTATGAAAAGAAAGGTTAAACTCTGTGAGTTGAAGGCACACATCACAAACTAGTTTCTACGAATGACTCTGTGTACTTTTAATATGAAGATATTTCCATGTCTAAGATTGGCGTCAAATCGCTTGAAATCTCCACTTGCAAATTCCACAAAAAGTGTTTTTCAAAACTGCTCTGAATAAAGGAAGGTTCCACTCTGTGAGTTGAATACACACAACACAAAGGATTTACTGAGAATTCTTCTGTCTAGCAGTAAATGAGAAATCCCGCTTCCAACGAAGGCCTCAAAGGGGTCTAACTAATCACTTGCAGACTTTACAGACAGAGTCTTTCCAAACTGCTCTATGAAGAGAAAGGTGAAACTCTGTGAACTGAACGCACAGATGACAAAGCAGTTTCTGAGAATGATTCTGTGTAGTTTTTACACGAAGATATTTCCATTTCAAAGATTAGCCTCAAATCGCTTGAAATCTCCACTTGCAAACTCCACAGAAAGAATTTTTCAAAACTGCTCTGTCTAAAGGAAGGTTCAACTCTGTGACTTGAATACACACAACACAAAGAAGTGACTGAGAATTCTTCTGTCTAGCATTATATGAAGAAATCCCGTTTCCAACGAAGGCCTCAATGAAGTCCAAAAAAGCACTTGCAGGCTTTACAAACAGAGTGTTTCCAAACTGCTCTATGAAAAGAAAGGTTAAACTCTGTGAGTTGAACGCACACATCACAAAGTAGTTGTTGAGAATGATTCTGTGTAGTTTTTATACGAAGATATTTCCTTTTCTGCCATAGGCCTAGAATCGCTTGAAATCTGCAAATGCAAATTCCAAAAACAGAGTGTTTCAACTCTGTTCTCTCTAAAGAAAGGTTCAACTCTGTGAGTTGAATACACACAACACAAAGAAGTGACTGAGAATTCTTCTGTCTAGCGTTGTATGAAGAAATCCCGTTTCCAACGAAGGCCTCAATGAAGTCCAAAAAAGCACTTGCAGGCTTTACAAACAGAGTGTTTCCAAACTGCTCTATGAAAAGAAAGGTTAACCTCTGTGAGTTGAACGCACACATCACAAAGTAGTTGTTGAGAATGATTCTGTGTAGTTTTTATACGAAGATATTTCCTTTTCTGCCATAGGCCTAGAAGCGCTTGAAATCTGCACTTGCAAATTCCAAAAACAGAGTGTTTCAAATCTGCTCTCTCTAAAGGAAGGTTCAAATCTGTGTGTTGAATACAAACAACACAAAGAATTTACTGAGAATTCTTCTGTCTAGCATTATATGAGGAAATCCCGTTTCCAACGAAGGGCTCCAAGAGGGCCAAATATCCACCTGCAGACTTACAAAGAGTGTATTTCCAAACTGCTCGATTAAAGAAAGGTTAAACTCTGTGAGTTGAACACACACATCACAAAGAGTTTTCTGAGAATGATTTTGTCTACTTTTAATACGAAGATATATCCTTTTCTATCACTGTCTTCGAAGCGTTTGAAATCTACACTAGCAAATTCCACAAAAAGAGTGTTTCACCTCTGCTCCCTCTAAAGAAAGGTTCAACTCTGTGAGTTGAATACACACAACACAAAGAAGTTACTGAGAATTCTTCTGTCTAGCGTTATATGAAGAAATCCCGTTTCCAACGAAGGCCTCAAAGAGGTCCAAATATCCACTTGCAGACTTTACAAATAGAGTGTTTCCCAACTGCTCTATGAAAAGAAAGGTTAAACTCTGTGAGTTGAAGGCACACATCACAAACTAGTTTCTACGAATGACTCTGTGTACTTTTAATGTGAAGATATTTCCATGTCTAAGATTGGCGTCAAATCGCTTGAAATCTCCACTTGCAAATTCCACAAAAAGAGTGTTTCAAAACTGCTCTGAATAAAGGAAGGTTCCACTCTGTGAGTTGAATACACACAACACAAAGGATTTACTGAGAATTCTTCTGTCTAGCAGTAAATGAGAAATCCCGCTTCCAACGAAGGCCTCAAAGGGGTCTAACTAATCACTTGCAGACTTTACAGACAGAGTCTTTCCAAACTGCTCTATGAAGAGAAAGGTGAAACTCTGTGAACTGAACGCACAGATGACAAAGCAGTTTCTGAGAATGATTCTGTGTAGTTTTTACACGAAGATATTTCCATTTCAAAGATTAGCCTCAAATCGCTTGAAATCTCCATTTGCAAATTCCACAGAAAGAGTTTTTCAAAACTGCTCTGTGTAAAGGAAGGTTCAACTCTGTGACTTGAATACACACAACACAAAGAAGTGACTGAGAATTCTTCTGTCTAGCATTATAAGAGGAAATCCCGTTTCCAACGAAGGGCTCATAGAGGGACAATTATCCAGCTGCAGACTTACAAAGAGTGTATTTCCAAACTGCTCGATTAAAGAAAGGTTAAACTCTGTGAGTTGAACACACACATCACAAAGTGTTTTCTGAGAATGATTTTGTCTAGTTTTAATACGAAGATATATCCTTTTCTATCACTGTCTTCGAAGCGTTTGAAATCTGCACTAGCAAATTCCACAGAAAGAGTGTTTCAACTCTGCTCTCTCTCAAGAAAGGTTCAACTCTGTGAGTTGAATACACACAACACAAAGAAGTTACTGAGAATTCTTCTGTCTAGCGTTATATGAAGAAATCCCGTTTCCAACGAAGGCCTCAAAGAGGTCCAAATATCCACTTGCAGACTTTACAAATAGAGTGTTTCCAAACTGCTCTATGAAAAGAAAGGTTAAACTCCGTGAGTTGAAGGCACACATCACAAACTAGTTTCTGCGAATGACTCTGTGTACTTTTAATACGAAGATGTTTCCATGTCTAAGATTGGCGTGAATTCGCTTGAAATCTCCACTTGCAAATTCCACAAAAAGAGTGTTTCAAAAGTCCTCTGAATAAAGGAAGGTTCCACTCTGTGAGTTGAATACACACAACACAAAGGATTTACTGAGAATTCTTCTGTCTAGCAGTAAATGAAAAAATCCCGCTTCCAACGAAGTCCTCAAAGGGGTCCAAGTAATCACTTGCAGACTTTACAGACAGAGTCTTTCCAAACTGCTCTATGAAAAGAAAGGTGGAACTCTGTGAGCTGAACGCACACATAACAAAGCAGTTTCTGAGAATGATTCTGTGTAGTTTTTACACGAAGATATTTCCATTTCAAAGATTAGCCCCAAATCGCTTGAAATCTCCACATGCAAATTCCACAGAAAGAATTTTTCAAAACTGCTCTGTCTAAAGGAAGGTTCAACTCTGTGACTTAGATACACACAACACAAAGAAGTGACTGAGAATTCTTCTGCCTAGCATTATATGAAGAAATCACGTTTCCAACGAACGCTTCAAAGAGGTCCAAATATGCACTTGCAGACTTTACAAACAGAGTGTTTCCAAACTGCTCTATGAAAAGAAAGGTTAAACTCCGTGTGTTGAACGCACACATCAGAAAGTAGTTCCTGAGAATGATTCCTGTGTAGTTTTTATACGAAGAATATTTCCTTTTCTGCCATAGGCCTAGAAGCGCTTGTAATCTGCACTTGCAAATTCCAAAAACAGAGTGTTTCAAATCTGCTCTCTCTAAAGGAAGGTTCAAATCTGTGAGTTGAATACAAACAACACAAAGAAGTTACTGAGAATTCTTCTGTCTAGTGTTGTATGAAGAAATCCCGTTTCCAACGAAGGCCTCAAAGAGGTCCAAATATCCACTTGCAGACTTTACAAATAGAGTGTTTCCAAACTGCTCTATGAAAAGAAAGGTTAAACTCTGTGATTTGAAGGCACACATCACAAACTAGTTTCTACGAATGACTCTGTGTACTTTTAATATGAAGATATTTCCATGTCTAAGATTGGCGTCAAATCGCTTGAAATCTCCACTTGCAAATTCCACAAAAAGAGTGTTTCAAAACTGCTCTGAATAAAGGAAGGTTCCACTCTGTGAGTTGAATACACACAACACAAAGGATTTACTGAGAATTCTTCTGTCTAGCATTATATGAAGAAATCCCCTTTCCAACGAAGGCCTCAATGAAGTCCAAAAAAGCACTTGCAGGCTTTACAAACAGAGTGTTTCCAAACTGCTCTATGAAAAGAAAGGTTAAACTTTGTGAGTTGAACGCACACATCACAAAGTAGTTGTTGAGAATGATTCTGTGTAGTTTTTATACGAAGATATTTCCTTTTCTGCCATAGGCCTAGAATCGCTTGATATCTGCACTTGCAAATTCCAAAAACAGAGTGTTTCAACTCTGCTCTCTCTAAAGAAAGGTTCAACTCTGTGAGTTGAATACACACAACACAAAGAAGTTACTGAGAATTCTTCTGTCTAGCGTTATATGAAGAAATCCCGTTTCCAACGAAGGCCTCAAAGAGGTCCAAATATCCACTTGCAGACTTTACAAATAGAGTGTTTCCCAACTGCTCTATGAAAAGAAAGGTTAAACTCTGTGAGTTGAAGGCACACATCACACACTAGTTTCTACGAATGACTCTGTGTACTTTTAATATGAAGATATTTCCATGTCTAAGATTGGCGTCAAATCGCTTGAAATCTCCACTTGCAAATTCCACAAAAAGAGTGTTTCAAAACTGCTCTGAATAAAGGAAGGTTCCACTCTGTGAGTTGAATACACACAACACAAAGGATTTTCTGAGAATTCTTCTGTCTAGCAGTAAATGAGAAATCCCGCTTCCAACGAAGGCCTCAAAGGGGTCTAACTAATCACTTGCAGACTTTACAGACAGAGTCTTTCCAAACTGCTCTATGAAGAGAAAGGTGAAACTCTGTGAACTGAACGCACAGATGACAAAGCAGTTTCTGAGAATGATTCTGTGTAGTTTTTACACGAAGATATTTCCATTTCAAAGATTAGCCTCAAATCGCTTGAAATCTCCACTTGCAAACTCCACAGAAAGAATTTTTCAAAACTGCTCTGTCTAAAGGAAGGTTCAACTCTGTGACTTGAATACACACAACACAAAGAAGTGACTGAGAATTCTTCTGTCTAGCGTTGTATGAAGAAATCCCGTTTCCAACGAAGGCCTCAATGAAGTCCAAAAAAGCACTTGCAGGCTTTACAAACAGAGTGTTTCCAAACTGCTCTATGAAAAGAAAGGTTAAACTCTGTGAGTTGAACACACACATCACAAAGAGTTTCCTGAGAATGATTTTGTCTACTTTTAATACGAAGATATATCCTTTTCTATCACTGTCTTCGAAGCGTTTGAAATCTACACTAGCAAATTCCACAAAAAGAGTGTTTCACCTCTGCTCCCTCTAAAGAAAGGTTCAACTCTGTGAGTTGAATACACACAACACAAAGAAGTTACTGAGAATTCTTCTGTCTAGCGTTATATGAAGAAATCCCGTTTCCAACGAAGGCCTCAAAGAGGTCCAAATATCCACTTGCAGACTTTACAAATAGAGTGTTTCCCAACTGCTCTATGAAAAGAAAGGTTAAACTCTGTGAGTTGAAGGCACACATCACAAACTAGTTTCTACGAATGACTCTGTGTACTTTTAATATGAAGATATTTCCATGTCTAAGATTGGCGTCAAATCGCTTGAAATCTCCACTTGCAAATTCCACAAAAAGAGTGTTTCAAAACTGCTCTGAATAAAGGAAGGTTCCACTCTGTGAGTTGAATACACACAACACAAAGGATTTACTGAGAATTCTTCTGTCTAGCAGTAAATGAGAAATCCCGCTTCCAACGAAGGCCTCAAAGGGGTCTAACTAATCACTTGCAGACTTTACAGACAGAGTCTTTCCAAACTGCTCTATGAAGAGAAAGGTGAAACTCTGTGAACTGAACGCACAGATGACAAAGCAGTTTCTGAGAATGATTCTGTGTAGTTTTTAAACGAAGATATTTCCATTTCAAAGATTAGCCTCAAATCGCTTGAAATCTCCACTTGCAAACTCCACAGAAAGAATTTTTCAAAACTGCTCTGTCTAAAGGAAGGTTCAACTCTGTGACTTGAATACACACAACACAAAGAAGTGACTGAGAATTCTTCTGTCTAGCATTATATGAAGAAATCCCGTTTCCAACGAAGGCCTCAATGAAGTCCAAAAAAGCACTTGCAGGCTTTACAAACAGAGTGTTTCCAAACTGCTCTATGAAAAGAAAGGTTAAACTCTGTGAGTTGAACGCACACATCACAAAGTAGTTGTTGAGAATGATTCTGTGTAGTTTTTATACGAAGATATTTCCTTTTCTGCCATAGGCCTAGAATCGCTTGAAATCTGCAGTTGCAAATTCCAAAAACAGAGTGTTTCAACTCTGCTCTCTCTAAAGAAAGGTTCAACTCTGTGAGTTAAATACACACAACACAAAGAAGTTACTGAGAATTCTTCTGTCTAGCGTTGTATGAAGAAATCCCGTTTCCAACGAAGGCCTCAAAGGAGGTCCAAATATCCACTTGCAGACTTTACAAATAGAGTGTTTCCAAACTGCTCTATGAAAAGAAAGGTTAAACTCTGTGAGTTGAAGGCACACATCACAAACTAGTTTTTACGAATGACTCTGTGTACTTTTAATATGAAGATATTTCCATGTCTAAGATTGGCGTCAAATCGCTTGAAATCTCCACTTGCAAATTCCACAAAAAGTGTTTTTCAAAACTGCTCTGAATAAAGGAAGGTTCCAGTCTGTGAGTTGAATACACACTACACAAAGGATTTACTGAGAATTCTTCTGTCTAGCAGTAAATGAGAAATCCCGCTTCCAACGAAGGCCTCAAAGGGGTCTAACTAATCACTTGCAGACTTTACAGACAGAGTCTTTCCAAACTGCTCTATGAAGAGAAAGGTGAAACTCTGTGAACTGAACGCACAGATGACAAAGCAGTTTCTGAGAATGATTCTGTGTAGTTTTTACATGAAGATATTTCCATTTCAAAGATTAGCCTCAAATCGCTTCAAATCTCCACTTGCAAACTCCACAGAAAGAATTTTTCAAAACTGCTCTGTCTAAAGGAAGGTTCAACTCTGTGACTTGAATACACACAACACAAAGAAGTGACTGAGAATTCTTCTGTCTAGCCTTATATGAAGAAATCCCGTTTCCAACGAAGGCCTCAATGAAGTCCAAAAAAGCACTTGCAGGCTTTACAAACAGAGTGTTTCCAAACTGCTCTATGAAAAGAAAGGTTAAACTCTGTGAGTTGAACGCACACATCACAAAGTAGTTGTTGAGAATGATTCTGTGTAGTTTTTATACGAAGATATTCCCTTTTCTGCCATAGGCCTAGAATCGCTTGAAATCTGCACTAGCAAATTCCAAAAACAGAGTGTTTCAACTCTGCTCTCTCTAAAGAAAGGTTCAACTCTGTGAGTTGAATACACACAACACAAAGAAGTTACTGAGAATTCTTCTGTCTAGCGTTGTATGAAGAAATCCCGTTTCCAACGAAGGCCTCAATGAAGTCCAAAAAAGCACTTGCAGGCTTTACAAACAGAGTGTTTCCAAACTGCTCTATGAAAAGAAAGGTTAAACTCTGTGAGTTGAACGCACACATCACAAAGTAGTTGTTGAGAATGATTCTGTGTAGTTTTTATACGAAGATATTTCCTTTTCTGCCATAGGCCTAGAAGCGCTTGAAATCTGCACTTGGAAATTCCAAAAACAGAGTGTTTCAACTATGGTCTCTCTAAAGAAAGGTTCAACTCTGTGAGTTGAATACACACAACACAAAGAAGTTACTGAGAATTCTTCTGTCTAGCATTATATGAGGAAATCCCGTTTCCAACGAAGGGCTCAAAGAGGGCCAATTATCCACCTGCAGACTTACAAAGAGTGTATTTCCAAACTGCTCGATTAAAGAAAGGTTAAACTCTGTGAGTTGAACACACACATCACAAAGAGTTTTCTGAGAATGATTTTGTCTACTTTTAATACGAAGATATATCCTTTTCTATCACTGTCTTCGAAGCGTTTGAAATCTACACTAGCAAATTCCACAAAAAGAGTGTTTCACCTCTGCTCCCTCTAAAGAAAGGTTCAACTCTGTGAGTTGAATACACACAACACAAAGAAGTTACTGAGAATTCTTCTGTCTAGCGTTATATGAAGAAATCCCGTTTCCAACGAAGGCCTCAAAGAGGTCCAAATATCCACTTGCAGACTTTACAAATAGAGTGTTTCCCAACTGCTCTATGAAAAGAAAGGTTAAACTCTGTGAGTTGAAGGCACACATCACAAACTAGTTTCTACGAATGACTCTGTGTACTTTTAATATGAAGATATTTCCATGTCTAAGATTGGCGTCAAATCGCTTGAAATCTCCACTTGCAAATTCCACAAAAAGAGTGTTTCAAAACTGCTCTGAATAAAGGAAGGTTCCACTCTGTGAGTTGAATACACACAACACAAAGGATTTACTGAGAATTCTTCTGTCTAGCAGTAAATGAGAAATCCCGCTTCCAACGAAGGCCTCAAAGGGGTCTAACTAATCACTTGCAGACTTTACAGACAGAGTCTTTCCAAACTGCTCTATGAAGAGAAAGGTGAAACTCTGTGAACTGAACGCACAGATGACAAAGCAGTTTCTGAGAATGATTCTGTGTAGTTTTTACACGAAGATATTTCCATTTCAAAGATTAGCCTCAAATCGCTGGAAATCTCCACTTGCAAACTCCACAGAAAGAATTTTTCAAAACTGCTCTGTCTAAAGGAAGGTTCAACTCTGTGACTTGAATACACACAACACAAAGAAGTGACTGAGAATTCTTCTGTCTAGCATTATATGAAGAAATCCCGTTTCCAACGAAGGCCTCAATGAAGTCCAAAAAAGCACTTGCAGGCTTTACAAACAGAGTGTTTCCAAACTGCTCTATGAAAAGAAAGGTTAAACTCTGTGAGTTGAACGCACACATCACAAAGTAGTTGTTGAGAATGATTCTGTGTAGTTTTTATACGAAGATATTTCCTTTTCTGCCATAGGCCTAGAATCGCTTGAAATCTGCACTTGCAAATTCCAAAAACAGAGGGTTTCAACTCTGCTCTCTCTAAAGAAAGGTTCAACTCTGTGAGTTGAATACACACAACACAAAGAAGTTACTGAGAATTCTTCTGTCTAGCGTTGTATGAAGAAATCCCGTTTCCAACGAAGGTCTCAATGAAGTCCAAAAAAGCACTTCCAGGCTTTACAAACAGAGTGTTTCCAAACTGCTCTATGAAAAGAAAGGTTAAACTCTGTGAGTTGAACGCACACATCACAAAGTAGTTGTTGAGAATGATTCTGTGTACTTTTAATACGAAGATGTTTCCATGTCTAAGATTGGCGTGAATTCGCTTGAAATCTCCACCTGCAAATTCCACAAAAAGAGTGTTTCAAAAGTGCTCTGAATAAAGGAAGGTTCCACTCTGTGAGTTGAATACACACAACACAAAGGATTTACTGAGAATTCTTCTGTCTAGCAGTAAATGAAAAAATCCCGCTTCCAACGAAGTCCTCAAAGGGGTCCAAGTAATCACTTGCAGACTTTACAGACAGAGTCTTTCCAAACTGCTCTATGAAAAGAAAGGTGGAACTCTGTGAGCTGAACGCACACATAACAAAGCAGTTTCTGAGAATGATTCTGTGTAGTTTTTACACGAAGATATTTCCATTTCAAAGATTAGCCTCCAAATCGCTTGAAATCTCCACTTGCAAATTCCACAGAAAGAGTTTTTCAAAACTGCTCTGTGTAAAGGAAGGTTCAACTCTGTGACTTGAATACACACAACACAAAGAAGTGACTGAGAATTCTTCTGTCTAGCATTATATGAAGAAATCCCGTTTCCAACGAAGGCCTCAATGAAGTGCAAAAAAGCACTTGCAGGCTTTACAAACAGAGTGTTTCCAAACTGCTCTATGAAAAGAAAGGTTAAACTCTGTGAGTTGAACGCACACATCACAAAGTAGTTGTTGAGAATGATTCTGTGTAGTTTTTATACGAAGATATTTCCTTTTCTGCCATAGGCCTAGAATCGCTTGAAATCTGCAGTTGCAAATTCCAAAAACAGAGTGTTTCAACTCTGCTCTCTCTAAAGAAAGGTTCAACTCTGTGAGTTGAATACACACAACACAAAGAAGTTACTGAGAATTCTTCTGTCTAGCGTTGTATGAAGAAATCCCGTTTCCAACGAAGGCCTCAAAGAGGTCCAAATATCCACTTGCAGACTTTACAAATAGAGTGTTTCCAAACTGCTCTATGAAAAGAAAGGTTAAACTCTGTGAGTTGAAGGCACACATCACAAACTAGTTTCTACGAATGACTCTGTGTACTTTTAATATGAAGATATTTCCATGTCTAAGATTGGCGTCAAATCGCTTGAAATCTCCACTTGCAAATTCCACAAAAAGAGTGTTTCAAAACTGCTCTGAATAAAGGAATGTTCCACTCTGTGAGTTGAATACACACAACACAAAGGATTTACTGAGAATTCTTCTGTCTAGCAGTAAATGAGAAATCCCGCTTCCAACGAAGGCCTCAAAGGGGTCTAACTAATCACTTGCAGACTTTACAGACAGAGTCTTTCCAAACTGCTCTATGAAGAGAAAGGTGAAACTCTGTGAACTGAACGCACAGATGACAAAGCAGTTTCTGAGAATGATTCTGTGTAGTTTTTACACGAAGATATTTCCATTTCAAAGATTAGCCTCAAATCGCTTGAAATCTCCACTTGCAAACTCCACAGAAAGAATTTTTCAAAACTGCTCTGTCTAAAGGAAGGTTCAACTCTGTGACTTGAATACACACAACACAAAGAAGTGACTGAGAATTCTTCTGTCTAGCATTATAAGAGGAAATCCTGTTTCCAACGAAGGGCTCATAGAGGGACAATTATCCAGCTGCAGACTTACAAAGAGTGTATTTCCAAACTGCTCGATTAAAGAAAGGTTAAACTCTGTGAGTTGAACACACACATCACAAAGTGTTTTCTGAGAATGATTTTGTCTAGTTTTAATACGAAGATATATCCTTTTCTATCACTGTCTTCGAAGCGTTTGAAATCTGCACTAGCAAATTCCACAAACAGAGTGTTTCAACTCTGCTCTCTCTCAAGAAAGGTTCAACTCTGTGAGTGGAATACACACAACACAAAGAAGTTACTGAGAATTCTTCTGTCTAGCGTTATATGAAGAAATCCCGTTTCCAACGAAGGCCTCAAAGAGGTCCAAATATCCACTTGCAGACTTTACAAATAGAGTGTTTCCAAACTGCTCTATGAAAAGAAAGGTTAAACTCTGTGAGTTGAAGGCACACATCACAAACTAGTTTCTGCGAATGACTCTGTGTACTTTTAATACGAAGATGTTTCCATGTCTAAGATTGGCGTGAATTCGCTTGAAATCTCCACTTGCAAATTCCACAAAAAGAGTGTTTCAAAACTGCTCTGAATAAAGGAAGGTTCCACTCTGTGAGTTGAATACACACAACACAAAGGATTTACTGAGAATTCTTCTGTCTAGCAGTAAATGAAAAAATCCCGCTTCCAACGAAGTCCTCAAAGGGGTCCAAGTAATCACTTGCAGACTTTACAGACAGAGTCTTTCCAAACTGCTCTATGAAAAGAAAGGTGGAACTCTGTGAGCTGAACGCACACATAACAAAGCAGTTTCTGAGAATGATTCTGTGTAGTTTTTACACGAAGCTATTTCCATTTCAAAGATTAGCCTCAAATCGCTTGAAATCTCCACTTGCAAATTCCACAGAAAGAGTTTTTCAAAACTGCTCTGTGTAAAGGAAGGTTCAACTCTGTGACTTGAATACACACAACACAAAGAAGTGACTGAGAATTCTTCTGTCTAGCATTATATGAAGAAATCCCGTATCCAACGAAGGCCTCAAAGAAGTCCAAATAAGCACCTGCAGACTTTACAAACAGAGTGTTTCCAAACTGCTCTATGAAAAGAAAGGTTAAACTCTGTGAGTTGAACGCACACATCACAAACTAGTTTCTGCGAATGACTCTGTGTACTTTTAATACGAAGATGTTTCCATGTCTAAGATTGGCGTGAATTCGCTTGAAATCTCCACTTGCAAATTCCACAAAAAGAGTGTTTCAAAACTGCTCTGAATAAAGGAAGGTTCCACTCTGTGAGTTGAATACACACAACACAAAGGATTTACTGAGAATTCTTCTGTCTAGCAGTAAATGAAAAAATCCCGCTTCCAACGAAGTCCTCAAAGGGGTCCAAGTAATCACTTGCAGACTTTACAGACAGAGTCTTTCCAAACTGCTCTATGAAAAGAAAGGTGGAACTCTGTGAGCTGAACGCACACATAACAAAGAAGTTTCTGAGAATGATTCTGTGTAGTTTTTACACGAAGCTATTTCCATTTCAAAGATTAGCCTCAAATCGCTTGAAATCTCCACTTGCAAATTCCACAGAAAGAGTTTTTCAAAACTGCTCTGTGTAAAGGAAGGTTCAACTCTGTGACTTGAATACACACAACACAAAGAAGTGACTGAGAATTCTTCTGTCTAGCATTATATGAAGAAATCCCGTTTCCAACGAAGGCCTCAATGAAGTCCAAAAAAGCACTTGCAGGCTTTGCAAACAGCGTGTTTCCAAACTGCTCTATGAAAAGAAAGGTTAAACTTTGTGAGTTGAACGCACACATCACAAAGTAGTTGTTGAGAATGATTCTGTGTAGTTTTTATACGAAGATATTTCCTTTCCTGCCATAGGCCTAGAATCGCTTGAAATCTGCACTTGCAAATTCCAAAAACAGAGTGTTTCAACTCTGCTCTCTCTAAAGAAAGGTTCAACTCTGTGAGTTGAATACACACAACACAAAGAAGTTACTGAGAATTCTTCTGTCTAGCGTTGTATGAAGAAATCCCGTTTCCAACGAAGGCCTCAAAGAGGTCCAAATATCCACTTGCAGACTTTACAAATAGAGTGTTTCCAAACTGCTCTATGAAAAGAAAGGTTAAACTCTGTGAGTTGAAGGCACACATCACAAACTAGTTTCTACGAATGACTCTGTGTACTTTTAATATGAAGATATTTCCATGTCTAAGATTGGCGTCAAATCGCTTGAAATCTCCACTTGCAAATTCCACAAAAAGAGTGTTTCAAAACTGCTCTGAATAAAGGAAGGTTCCACTCTGTGAGTTGAATACACACAACACAAAGGATTTACTGAGAATTCTCCTGTCTAGCAGTAAATGAGAAATCCCGCTTCCAACGAAGGCCTCAAAGGGGTCTAACTAATCACTTGCAGACTTTACAGACAGAGTCTTTCCAAACTGCTCTATGAAGAGAAAGGTGAAACTCTGTGAACTGAACGCACAGATGACAAAGCAGTTTCTGAGAATGATTCTGTGTAGTTTTTACACGAAGATATTTCCATTTCAAAGATTAGCCTCAAATCGCTTGAAATCTCCACTTGCAAACTCCACAGAAAGAATTTTTCAAAACTGCTCTGTCTAAAGGAAGGTTCAACTCTGTGACTTGAATACACACAACACAAAGAAGTGACTGAGAATTCTTCTGTCTAGCATTATATGAAGAAATCTCGTTTCCAACGAAGGCCTCAATGAAGTCCAAAAAAGCACTTGCAGGCTTTACAAACAGAGTGTTTCCAAACTGCTCTCTGAAAAGAAAGGTTAACCTCTGTGAGTTGAACGCACTCATCACAAAGTAGTTGTTGAGAATGATTCTGTGTAGTTTTTATACGAAGATATTTCCTTTTCTGCCATAGGCCTAGAAGCGCTTGAAATCTGCACTTGCAAATTCCAAAAACAGAGTGTTTCAAATCTGCTCTCTCTAAAGGAAGGTTCAAATCTGTGTGTTGAATACAAACAACACAAAGAAGTTACTGAGAATTCTTCTGTCTAGCATTATATGAGGAAATCCCGTTTCCAACGAAGGGCTCAAAGAGGGCCAAATATCCACCTGCAGACTTACAAAGAGTGTATTTCCAAACCGCTCGATTAAAGAAAGGTTAAACTCTGTGAGTTGAACACACACATCACAAAGAGTTTTCTGAGAATGATTTTGTCTACTTTTAATACGAAGATATATCCTTTTCTATCACTGTCTTCGAAGCGTTTGAAATCTACACTAGCAAATTCCACAAAAAGAGTGTTTCACCTCTGCTCCCTCTAAAGAAAGGTTCAACTCTGTGAGTTGAATACACACAACACAAAGAAGTTACTGAGAATTCTTCTGTCTAGCGTTATATGAAGAAATCCCGTTTCCAACGAAGGCCTCAAAGAGGTCCATATATCCACTTGCAGACTTTACAAATAGAGTGTTTCCAAACTGCTCTATGAAAAGAAAGGTTAAACTCCGTGAGTTGAAGGCACACATCACAAACTAGTTTCTGCGAATGACTCTGTGTACTTTTAATACGAAGATGTTTCCATGTCTAAGATTGGCGTGAATTCGCTTGAAATCTCCACTTGCAAATTCCACAAAAAGAGTGTTTCAAAACTGCTCTGAATAAAGGAAGGTTCCACTCTGTGAGTTGAATACACACAACACAAAGGATTTACTGAGAATTCTTCTGTCTAGCAGTAAATGAAAAAATCCCGCTTCCAACGAAGTCCTCAAAGGGGTCCAAGTAATCACTTGCAGACTTTACAGACAGAGTCTTTCCAAACTGCTCTATGAAAAGAAAGGTGGAACTCTGTGAGCTGAACGCACACATAACAAAGCAGTTTCTGAGAATGATTCTGTGTAGTTTTTACACGAAGATATTTCCATTTCAAAGATTAGCCTCAAATCGCTTGAAATCTCCACTTGCAAATTCCACAGAAAGAGTTTTTCAAAACTGCTCTGTGTAAAGGAAGGTTCAACTCTGTGACTTGAATACACACAACACAAAGAAGTGACTGAGAATTCTTCTGTCTAGCATTATATGAGGAAATCCCGTTTCCAACGAAGGGCTCATAGAGGGACAATTATCCAGCTGCAGACTTACAAAGAGTGTATTTCCAAACTGCTCGATTAAAGAAAGGTTAAACTCTGTGAGTTGAACACACACATCACAAAGTGTTTTCTGAGAATGATTCTGTGTAGTTTTTATACGAAGATATTTCCTTTTCTGCCATAGGCCTAGAAGCGCTTGAAATCTGCACTTGCAAATTCCAAAAACAGGGTGTTTCAACTCTGCTCTCTCTAAAGAAAGGTTCATCTCTGTGAGTTGAATACACACAACACAAAGAAGTTACTGAGAATTCTTCTGTCTAGCGTTGTATGAAGAAATCCCTTTTCGAACGAAGGCCTCAAAGAGGTCCAAATATCCACTTGCAGACTTTACAAATAGAGTGTTTCCAAACTGCTCTATGAAAAGAAAGGTTAAACTCTGTGAGTTGAAGGCACACATCACAAACTAGTTTCTACGAATGACTCTGTGTAATTTTAATATGAAGATATTTCCATTTCTAAGATTGGCGTCAAATCGCTTGAAATCTCCACTTCCAAATTCCACAAAAAGTGTTTTTCAAAACTGCTCTGAATAAAGGAAGGTTCCACTCTGTGAGTTGAATACACACAACACAAAGGATTTACTGAGAATTCTTCTGTCTAGCAGTAAATGAGAAATCCCGCTTCCAACGAAGGCCTCAAAGGGGTCTAACTAATCACTTGCAGACTTTACAGACAGAGTCTTTCCAAACTGCTCTATGAAGAGAAAGGTGAAACTCTGTGAACTGAACGCACAAGATGACAAAGCAGTTTCTGAGAATGATTCTGTGTAGTTTTTACACGAAGATATTTCCATTTCAAAGATTAGCCTCAAATCGCTTGAAATCTCCACTTGCAAACTCCACAGAAAGAATTTTTCAAAACTGCTCTGTCTAAAGGAAGGTTCAACTCTGTGACTTGAATACACACAACACAAAGAAGTGACTGAGAATTCTTCTGTCTAGCATTATATGAGGAAATCCCGTTTCCAACGAAGGGCTCATAGAGGGACAATTATCCAGCTGCAGACTTACAAAGAGTGTATTTCCAAACTGCTCGATTAAAGAAAGGTTAAACTCTGTGAGTTGAACACACACATCACAAAGTGTTTTCTGAGAATGATTTTGTCTAGTTTTAATACGAAGATATATCCTTTTCTATCACTGTCTTCGAAGCGTTTGAAATCGGCACTAGCAAATTCCACAAACAGAGTGTTTCAACTCTGCTCTCTCTCAAGAAAGGTTCAACTCTGTGAGTGGAATACACACAACACAAAGAAGTTACTGAGAATTCTTCTGTCTAGCGTTATATGAAGAAATCCCGTTTCCAACGAAGGCCTCAAAGAGGTCCAAATATCCACTTGCAGACTTTACAAATAGAGTGTTTCCAAACTGCTCTATGAAAAGAAAGGTTAAACTCCGTGAGTTGAAGGCACACATCACAAACTAGTTTCTGCGAATGACTCTGTGTACTTTTAATACGAAGATGTTTCCATGTCTAAGATTGGCGTGAATTCGCTTGAAATCTCCACCTGCAAATTCCACAAAAAGAGTGTTTCAAAAGTGTTCTGAATAAAGGAAGGTTCCACTCTGTGAGTTGAATACACACAACACAAAGGATTTACTGAGAATTCTTCTGTCTAGCAGTAAATGAAAAAATCCCGCTTCCAACGAAGTCCTCAAAGGGGTCCAAGTAATCACTTGCAGACTTTACAGACAGAGTCTTTCCAAACTGCTCTATGAAGAGAAAGGTGGAACTCTGTGAGCTGAACGCACACATAACAAAGCAGTTTCTGAGAATGATTCTGTGTAGTTTTTACACGAAGCTATTTCCATTTCAAAGATTAGCCTCAAATCGCTTGAAATCTCCACTTGCAAATTCCACAGAAAGAGTTTTTCAAAACTGCTCTGTGTAAAGGAAGGTTCAACTCTGTGACTTGAATACACACAACACAAAGAAGTGACTGAGAATTCTTCTGTCTAGCATTATATGAAGAAATCCCGTTTCCAACGAAGGCCTCAAAGAAGTCCAAATAAGCACCTGCAGACTTTACAAACAGAGTGTTTCCAAACTGCTCTATGAAAAGAAAGGTTAAACTCTGTGAGTTGAACGCACACATCACAAACTAGTTTCTGCGAATGACTCTGTGTACTTTTAATACGAAGATGTTTCCATGTCTAAGATTGGCGTGAATTCGCTTGAAATCTCCACTTGCAAATTCCACAAAAAGAGTGTTTCAAAACTGCTCTGAATAAAGGAAGGTTCCACTCTGTGAGTTGAATACACACAACACAAAGGATTTACTGAGAATTCTTCTGTCTAGCAGTAAATGAAAAAATCCCGCTTCCAACGAAGTCCTCAAAGGGGTCCAAGTAATCACTTGCAGACTTTACAGACAGAGTCTTTCCAAACTGCTCTATGAAAAGAAAGGTGGAACTCTGTGAGCTGAACGCACACATAACAAAGCAGTTTCTGACAATGATTCTGTGTAGTTTTTACACGAAGCTATTTCCATTTCAAAGATTAGCCTCAAATCGCTTGAAATCTCCACTTGCAAATTCCACAGAAAGAGTTTTTCAAAACTGCTCTGTGTAAAGGAAGGTTCAACTCTGTGACTTGAATACACACAACACAAAGAAGTGACTGAGAATTCTTCTGTCTAGCATTATAAGAGGAAATCCTGTTTCCAACGAAGGGCTCATAGAGGGACAATTATCCAGCTGCAGACTTACAAAGAGTGTATTTCCAAACTGCTCGATTAAAGAAAGGTTAAACTCTGTGAGTTGAACACACACATCACAAAGTGTTTTCTGAGAATGATTTTGTCTAGTTTTAATACGAAGATATATCCTTTTCTATCACTGTCTTCGAAGCGTTTGAAATCTGCACTAGCAAATTCCACAAACAGAGTGTTTCAACTCTGCTCTCTCTCAAGGAAGCTTCAACTCTGTGAGTGGAATACACACAACACAAAGAAGTTACTGAGAATTCTTCTGTCTAGCGTTATATGAAGAAATCCCATTTCCAACGAAGGCCTCAAAGAGGTCCAAATATCCACTTGCAGACTTTACAAATAGAGTGTTTCCAAACTGCTCTATGAAAAGAAAGGTTAAACTCCGTGAGTTGAAGGCACACATCACAAACTAGTTTCTGCGAATGACTCTGTGTACTTTTAATACGAAGATGTTTCCATGTCTAAGATTGGCGTGAATTCGCTTGAAATCTCCACTTGCAAATTCCACAAAAAGAGTGTTTCAAAAGTGCTCTGAATAAAGGAAGGTTCCACTCTGTGAGTTGAATACACACAACACAAAGGATTTACTGAGAATTCTTCTGTCTAGCAGTAAATGAAAAAATCCCGCTTCCAACGAAGTCCTCAAAGGGGTCCAAGTAATCACTTGCAGACTTTACAGACAGAGTCTTTCCAAACTGCTCTATGAAAAGAAAGGTGGAACTCTGTGAGCTGAACGCACACATAACAAAGCAGTTTCTGAGAATGATTCTGTGTAGTTTTTACACGAAGCTATTTCCATTTCAAAGATTAGCCTCAAATCGCTTGAAATCTCCACTTGCAAATTCCACAGAAAGAGTTTTTCAAAACTGCTCTGTGTAAAGGAAGGTTCAACTCTGTGACTTGAATACACACAACACAAAGAAGTGACTGAGAATTCTTCTGTCTAGCATTATATGAAGAAATCCCGTTTCCAACGAAGGCCTCAAAGAAGTCCAAATAAGCACCTGCAGACTTTACAAACAGAGTGTTTCCAAACTGCTCTATGAAAAGAAAGGTTAAACTCTGTGAGTTGAACGCACACATCACAAAGTAGTTGTTGAGAATGATTCTGTGTAGTTTTTATACGAAGATATTTCCTTTTCTGCCATAGGCCTAGAAGCGCTTGAAATCTGCACTTGCAAATTCCAAAAACAGAGTGTTTCAACTATGGTCTCTCTAAAGAAAGGTTCAACTCTGTGAGTTGAATACACACAACACAAAGAAGTTACTGAGAATTCTTCTGACTAGCGTTGTATGAAGAAATCCCGTTTCCAACGAAGGCCTCAATGAAGTCCAAAAAAGCACTTGCAGGCTTTACAAACAGAGTGTTTCCAAACTGCTCTATGAAAAGAAAGGTTAAACTCTGTGAGTTGAACACACACATCACAAAGAGTTTTCTGAGAATGATTTTGTCTACTTTTAATACGAAGATATATCCTTTTCTATCACTGTCTTCGAAGCGTTTGAAATCTCCACTAGCAAATTCCACAAAAAGAGTGTTTCACCTCTGCTCCCTCTAAAGAAAGGTTCAACTCTGTGAGTTGAATACACACAACACAAAGAAGTTACTGAGAATTCTTCTGTCTAGCGTTATATGAAGAAATCCCGTTTCCAACGAAGGCCTCAAAGAGGTCCAAATATCCACTTGCAGACTTTACAAATAGAGTGTTTCCCAACTGCTCTATGAAAAGAAAGGTTAAACTCTGTGAGTTGAAGGCACACATCACAAACTAGTTTCTACGAATGACTCTGTGTACTTTTAATATGAAGATATTTCCATGTCTAAGATTGGCGTCAAATCGCTTGAAATCTCCACTTGCAAATTCCACAAAAAGAGTGTTTCAAAACTGCTCTGAATAAAGGAAGGTTCCACTCTGTGAGTTGAATACACACAACACAAAGGATTTACTGAGAATTCTTCTGTCTAGCAGTAAATGAGAAATCCCGCTTCCAACGAAGGCCTCAAAGGGGTCTAACTAATCACTTGCAGACTTTACAGACAGAGTCTTTCCAAACTGCTCTATGAAGAGAAAGGTGAAACTCTGTGAACTGAACGCACAGATGACAAAGCAGTTTCTGAGAATGATTCTGTGTAGTTTTTACACGAAGTATATTTCCATTTCAAAGATTAGCCTAAAATCGCTTGAAATCTCCACTTGCAAACTCCACAGAAAGAATTTTTCAAAACTGCTCTGTCTAAAGGAAGGTTCAACTCTGTGACTTGAATACACACAACACAAAGAAGTGACTGAGAATTCTTCTGTCTAGCATTATAAGAGGAAATCCTGTTTCCAACGAAGGGCTCATAGAGGGACAATTATCCAGCTGCAGACTTACAAAGAGTGTATTTCCAAACTGCTCGATTAAAGAAAGGTTAAACTCTGTGAGTTGAACACACACATCACAAAGTGTTTTCTGAGAATGATTTTGTCTAGTTTTAATACGAAGATATATCCTTTTCTATCACTGTCTTCGAAGCGTTTGAAATCTGCACTAGCAAATTCCACAAACAGAGTGTTTCAACTCTGCTCTCTCTCAAGAAAGTTTCAACTCTGTGAGTGGAATACACACAACACAAAGAAGTTACTGAGAATTCTTCTGTCTAGCGTTATATGAAGAAATCCCGTTTCCAACGAAGGCCTCAAAGAGGTCCAAATATCCACTTGCAGACTTTACAAATAGAGTGTTTCCAAACTGCTCTATGAAAAGAAAGGTTAAACTCTGTGAGTTGAAGGCACACATCACAAACTAGTTTCTGCGAATGACTCTGTGTACTTTTAATACGAAGATGTTTCCATGTCTAAGATTGGCGTGAATTCGCTTGAAATCTCCACTTGCAAATTCCACAAAAAGAGTGTTTCAAAAGTGCTCTGAATAAAGGAAGGTTCCACTCTGTGAGTTGAATACACACAACACAAAGGATTTACTGAGAATTCTTCTGTCTAGCAGTAAATGAAAAAATCCCGCTTCAAAGGAAGTCCTCAAAGGGGTCCAAGTAATCACTTGCAGACTTTACAGACAGAGTCTTTCCAAACTGCTCTATGAAAAGAAAGGTGGAACTCTGTGAGCTGAACGCACACATAATGAAGCAGTTTCTGAGAATGATTCTGTGTAGTTTTTACACGAAGATATTTCCATTTCAAAGATTAGCCTCAAATCGCTTGAAATCTCCACTTGCAAATTCCACAGAAAGAGTTTTTCAAAACTGCTCTGTCTAAAGGAAGGTTCAACTCTGTGACTTGAATACATGCAACGCAAAGAAGTGACTGAGAATTCTTCTGTCTAGCATTATATGAAGAAATCCCGTTTCCAACGAAGGCCTCAAAGAAGTACAAATAAGCACCTGCAGACTTTACAAACAGAGTGTTTCCAAACTGCTCTATGAAAAGAAAGGTTAAACTCTGTGAGTTGAACGCACACATCACAAAGTAGTTTTTGAGAATGATTCTGTGTAGTTTTTATACGAAGATATTTCCTTTTCTGCCATAGGCCTAGAAGCGCTTGAAACCTGCACTTGCAAATTCCAAAAACAGAGTGTTTCAAATCTGCTCTCTCTAAAGGAAGGTTCAAATCTGTGTGTTGAATACAAACAACACAAAGAAGTTACTGAGAATTCTTCTGTCTAGCATTATATGAGGAAATCCCGTTTCCAATGAAGGGCTCAAAGAGGGCCAAATATCCACCTGCAGACTTACAAAGAGTGTATTTCCAAACTGCTCGATTAAAGAAAGGTTAAACTCTGTGAGTTGAACACACACATCACAAAGAGTTTTCTGAGAATGATTTTGTCTACTTTTAATACGAAGATATATCCTTTTCTATCACTGTCTTCGAAGCGTTTGAAATCTACACTAGCAAATTCCACAAAAAGAGTGTTTCACCTCTGCTCCCTCTAAAGAAAGGTTCAACTCTGTGAGTTGAATACACACAACACAAAGAAGTTACTGAGAATTCTTCTGTCTAGCGTTATATGAAGAAATCCCGTTTCCAACGAAGGCCTCAAAGAGGTCCAAATATCCACTTGCAGACTTTACAAATAGAGTGTTTCCCAACTGCTCTATGAAAAGAAAGGTTAAACTCTGTGAGTTGAAGGCACACATCACAAACTAGTTTCTACGAATGACTTCTGTGTACTTTTAATACGAAGATGTTTCCATGTCTAAGATTGGCGTGAATTTGCTTGAAATCTCCACTTGCAAATTCCACAAAAAGAGTGTTTCAAAACTGCTCTGAATAAAGGAAGGTTCCACTCTGTGAGTTGAATACACACAACACAAAGGATTTACTGAGAATTCTTCTGTCTAGCAGTAAATGAAAAAATCCCGCTTCCAACGAAGTCCTCAAAGGGGTCCAAGTAATCACTTGCAGACTTTACAGACAGAGTCTTTCCAAACTGCTCTATGAAAAGAAAGGTGGAACTCTGTGAGCTGAACGCACACATAACAAAGCAGTTTCTGAGAATGATTCTGTGTAGTTTTTACACGAAGATATTTCCATTTCAAAGATTAGCCTCAAATCGCTTGACATCTCCACTTGCAAATTCCACAGAAAGAGTTTTTCAAAACTGCTCTGTGTAATGGAAGGTTCAACTGCTGTGACTTGAATACACACAACACAAAGAAGTGACTGAGAATTCTTCTGTCTGGCATTATATGAAGAAATCCCATTTCCAACGAAGGCCTCAAAGAAGTCCAAATATGCACTTGCAGACTTTACAATCAGAGTGTTTCCAAACTGCTCTATGAAAAGAAAGGTTAAACCCTGTGAGTTGAACGCACACATCACAAAGTAGTTTCTGAGAATGATTTTGTCTAGTTTTAATACGAAGATATATCCTTTTCTATCACTGTCTTCGAAGCGTTTGAAATCTGCACTAGCAAATTCCACAAAAAGAGTGTTTCAACTCTGCTCTCTCTAAAGAAAGGTTCAACTCTGTGAGTTGAATACACACAACACAAAGAAGTTACTGAGAATTCTTCTGTCTAGCGTTATATGAAGAAATCCCGTTTCCAACGAAGGCCTCAAAGAGGTCCAAATATCCACTTGCAGACTTTACAAATAGAATGTTTCCGAACTGCTCTATGAAAAGAAAGGTTAAACTCTGTGAGTTGAAGGCACACATCACAAACTAGTTTCTACGAATGATTCTGTGTACTTTTAATATGAAGATATTTCCATGTCTAAGATTGGCGTCAAATCGCTTGAAATCTCCACTTGCAAATTCCACAAAAAGAGTGTTTCAAAACTGCTCTGAATAAAGGAAGGTTCCACTCTGTGAGTTGAATAAACACAACACAAAGGATTTACTGAGAATTCTTCTGTCTAGCACTAAATGAAAAAATCCCGCTTCCAACGAAGTCCTCAAAGGGGTCCAAGTAATCACTTGCAGACTTTACAGACAGAGTCTTTCCAAACTGCTCTATGAAAAGAAAGGTGGAACTCTGTGAGCTGAACGCACACATAACAAAGCAGTTTCTGAGAATGATTCTGTGTAGTTTTTACACGAAGCTATTTCCATTTCAAAGATTAGCCTCAAATCGCTTGAAATCTCCACTTGCAAATTCCACAGAAAGAGTTTTTCAAAACTGCTCTGTGTAAAGGAAGGTTCAACTCTGTGACTTGAATACACACAACACAAAGAAGTGACTGAGAATTCTTCTGTCTAGCATTATATGAAGAAATCCCGTTTCCAACGAAGGCCTCAAAGAAGTCCAAATAAGCACCTGCAGACTTTACAAACAGAGTGTTTCCAAACTGCTCTATGAAAAGAAAGGTTAAACTCTGTGAGTTGAACGCACACATCACAAAGTAGTTGTTGAGAATGATTCTGTGTAGTTTTTATACGAAGATATTTCCTTTTCTGCCATAGGCCTAGAATCGCTTGAAATCTGCACTTGCAAATTCCAAAAACAGAGTGTTTCAACTCTGCTCTCTCTAAAGAAAGGTTCAACTCTGTGAGTTGAATACAAACAACACAAAGAAGTTACTGAGAATTCTTCTGTCTAGCGTTGTATGAAGAAATCCCGTTTCCAACGAAGGCCTCAAAGAGGTCCAAATATCCACTTGCAGACTTTACAAATAGAGTGTTTCCAAACTGCTCTATGAAAAGAAAGGTTAAACTCTGTGAGTTGAAGGCACACATCACAAACTAGTTTTTACGAATGACTCTGTGTACTTTTAATATGAAGATATTTCCATGTCTAAGATTGGCGTCAAATCGCTTGAAATCTCCACTTGCAAATTCCACAAAAAGTGTTTTTCAAAACTGCTCTGAATAAAGGAAGGTTCCACTCTGTGAGTTGAATACACACAACACAAAGGATTTACTGAGAATTCTTCTGTCTAGCAGTAAATGAGAAATCCCGCTTCCAACGAAGGCCTCAAAGGGGTCTAACTAATCACTTGCAGACTTTACAGACAGAGTCTTTCCAAACTGCTCTATGAAGAGAAAGGTGAAACTCTGTGAACTGAACGCACATATGACAAAGCAGTTTCTGAGAATGATTCTGTGTAGTTTTTACACGAAGATATTTCCATTTCAAAGATTAGCCTCAAATCGCTTGAAATCTCCACTTGCAAATTCCACAGAAAGAATTTTTCAAAACTGCTCTGTCTAAAGGAAGGTTCAACTCTGTGACTTGAATACACACAACACAAAGAAGTGACTGAGAATTCTTCTGTCTAGCGTTATATGAAGAAATCCCGTTTCCAACGAAGGCCTCAATGAAGTCCAAAAAAGCACTTGCAGGCTTTACAAACAGAGTGTTTCCAAACTGCTCTATGAAAAGAAAGGTTAAACTCTGTGAGTTGAACGCACACATCACAAAGTAGTTGTTGAGAATGATTCTGTGTAGTTTTTCTACGAAGATATTTCCTTTTCTGCCATAGGCCTAGAATGGCTTGAAATCTGCACTTGCAAATTCCAAAAACAGAGTGTTTCAACTCTGTTCTCTCTAAAGAAAGGTTCAACTCTGTGAGTTGAATACACACAACACAAAGAAGTTACTGAGAATTCTTCTGTCTAGCGTTGTATGAAGAAATCCCGTTTCCAACGAAGGCCTCAATGAAGTCCAAAAAAGCACTTGCAGGCTTTACAAACAGAGTGTTTCCAAACTGCTCTCTGAAAAGAAAGGTTAACCTCTGTGAGTTGAACGCACACATCACAAAGTAGTTGTTGAGAATGATTTTGTCTAGTTTTAATACGAAGATATATCCTTTTCTATCACTGTCTTCGAAGCGTTTGAAATCTGCACTAGCAAATTCCACAAAAAGAGTGTTTCAACTCTGCTCTCTCTCAAGAAAGGTTCAACTCTGTGAGTGGAATACACACAACACAAAGAAGTTACTGAGAATCTTCTGTCTAGCGTTATATGAAGAAATCCCGTTTCCAAAGAAGGCCTCAAAGAGGTCCAAATATCCACTTGCAGACTTTACAAATAGAGTGTTTCCAAACTGCTCTATGAAAAGAAAGGTTAAACTCTGTGAGTTGAAGGCACACATCACAAACTAGTTTCTGCGAATGACTGTGTGTACTTTTAATACGAAGATGTTTCCATGTCTAAGATTGGCGTGAATTCGCTTGAAATCTCCACTTGCAAATTCCACAAAAAGAGTGTTTCAAAACTGCTCTGAATAAAGGAAGGTTCCACTCTGTGAGTTGAATACACACAACACAAAGGATTTACTGAGAATTCTTCTGTCTAGCAGTAAATGAAAAAATCCCGCTTCCAACGAAGTCCTCAAAGGGGTCCAAGTAATCACTTGCAGACTTTACAGACAGAGTCTTTCCAAACTGCTCTATGAAAAGAAAGGTGGAACTCTGTGAGCTGAACGCACACATAACAAAGCAGTTTCTGAGAATGATTCTGTGTAGTTTTTACACGAAGCTATTTCCATTTCAAAGATTAACCTCAAATCGCTTGAAATCTCCACTTGCAAATTCCACAGAAAGAGTTTTTCAAAACTGCTCTGTGTAAAGGAAGGTTCAACTCTGTGACTTGAATACACGCAACACAAAGAAGTGACTGAGAATTCTTCTGTCTAGCATTATATGAAGAAATCCCGTTTCCAACGAAGGCCTCAAAGAAGTCCAAATAAGCACCTGCAGACTTTACAAACAGAGTGTTTCCAAACTACTCTATGAAAAGAAAGGTTAAACTCTGTGAGTTGAACGCACACATCACAAAGTAGTTGTTGAGAATGATTCTGTGTAGTTTTTATACGAAGATATTTCCTTTTCTGCCATAGGCCTAGAAGCGCTTGTAATCTGCACTTGCAAATTCCAAAAACAGAGTGTTTCAAATCTGCTCTCTCTAAAGGAAGGTTCAAATGCTGTGAGTTGAATACAAACAACACAAAGAAGTTACTGAGAATTCTTCTGTCTAGCATTATAAGAGGAAATCCCGTTTCCAACGAAGGGCTCATAGAGGGACAATTATCCAGCTGCAGACTTACAAAGAGTGTATTTCCAAACTGCTCGATTAAAGAAAGGTTAAACTCTGTGAGTTGAACACACACATCACAAAGTGTTTTCTGAGAATGATTTTGTCTAGTTTTAATACGAAGATATATCCTTTTCTATCACTGTCTTCGAAGCGTTTGAAATCTGCACTAGCAAATTCCACAAACAGAGTGTTTCAACTCTGCTCTCTCTCAAGAAAGGTTCAACTCTGTGAGTGGAATACACACAACACAAAGAAGTTACTGAGAATTCTTCTGTCTAGCGTTATATGAAGAAATCCCGTTTCCAACGAAGGCCTCAAAGAGGTCCAAATATCCACTTGCAGACTTTACAAATAGAGTGTTTCCAAACTGCTCTATGAAAAGAAAGGTTAAACTCCGTGAGTTGAAGGCACACATCACAAACTAGTTTCTGCGAATGACTCTGTGTACTTTTAATACGAAGATGTTTCCATGTCTAAGATTGGCGTGAATTCGCTTGAAATCTCCACTTGCAAATTCCACAAAAAGAGTGTTTCAAAACTGCTCTGAATAAAGGAAGGTTCCACTCTGTGAGTTGAATACACACAACACAAAGGATTTACTGAGAATTCTTCTGTCTAGCAGTAAATGAAAAAATCCCGCTTCCAACGAAGTCCTCAAAGGGGTCCAAGTAATCACTTGCAGACTTTACAGACAGAGTCTTTCCAAACTGCTCTATGAAAAGAAAGGTGGAACTCTGTGAGCTGAACGCACACATAACAAAGCAGTTTCTGAGAATGATTCTGTGTAGTTTTTACACGAAGATATTTCCATTTCAAAGATTAGCCTCAAATCGCTTGAAATCTCCACTTGCAAATTCCACAGAAAGAGTTTTTCAAAACTGCTCTGTGTAAAGGAAGGTTCAACTCTGTGACTTGAATACACACAACACAAAGAAGTGACTGAGAATTCTTCTGTCTAGCATTATATGAAGAAATCCCGTTTCCAACGAAGGCCTCAAAGAAGTCCAAATAAGCACCTGCAGACTTTACAAACAGAGTGTTTCCAAACTGCTCTATGAAAAGAAAGGTTAAACTCTGTGAGTTGAACGCACACATCACAAAGTAGTTGTTGAGAATGATTCTGTGTAGTTTTTATACGAAGATATTTCCTTTTCTGCCATAGGCCTAGAAGCGCTTGTAATCTGCACTTGCAAATTCCAAAAACAGAGTGTTTCAAATCTGCTCTCTCTAAAGGAAGGTTCAAATCTGTGAGTTGAATACAAACAACACAAAGAAGTTACTGAGAATTCTTCTGTCTAGCGTTATATGAAGAAATCCCGTTTCCAACGAAGGCCTCAAAGAGGTCCAAATATCCACTTGCAGACTTTACAAATAGAGTGTTTCCCCACTGCTCTATGAAAAGAAAGGTTAAACTCTGTGAGTTGAAGGCACACATCACAAACTAGTTTCTACGAATGACTCTGTGTACTTTTAATACGAAGATGTTTCCATGTCTAAGATTGGCGTGAATTCGCTTGAAATCTCCACCTGCAAATTCCACAAAAAGAGTGTTTCAAAAGTGCTCTGAATAAAGGAAGGTTCCACTCTGTGAGTTGAATACACACAACACAAAGGATTTACTGAGAATTCTTCTGTCTAGCAGTAAATGAAAAAATCCCGCTTCCAACGAAGTCCTCAAAGGGGTCCAAGTAATCACTTGCAGACTTTACAGACAGAGTCTTTCCAAACTGCTCTATGAAAAGAAAGGTGGAACTCTGTGAGCTGAACGCACACATAACAAAGCAGTTTCTGAGAATGATTCTGTGTAGTTTTTACACGAAGATATTTCCATTTCAAAGATTAGCCTCAAATCGCTTGAAATCTCCACTTGCAAATTCCACAGAAAGAGTTTTTCAAAACTGCTCTGTGTAAAGGAAGGTTCAACTCTGTGACTTGAATACACACAACACAAAGAAGTGACTGAGAATTCTTCTGTCTAGCATTATATGAAGAAATCCCGTTTCCAACGAAGGCCTCAAAGAAGTCCAAATAAGCACCGGCAGACTTTACAAACAGAGTGTTTCCAAACTGCTCTATGAAAAGAAAGGTTAAACTCTGTGAGTTGAACGCACACATCACAAAGTAGTTGTTGAGAATGATTCTGTGTAGTTTTTATACGAAGATATTTCCTTTTCTGCCATAGGCCTAGAAGCGCTTGTAATCTGCACTTGCAAATTCCGAAAACAGAGTGTTTCAAATCTGCTCTCTCTAAAGGAAGGTTCAAATCTGTGAGTTGAATACAAACAACACAAAGAAGTTACTGAGAATTCTTCTGTCTAGCATTATAAGAGGAAATCCCGTTTCCAACGAAGGGCTCATAGAGGGACAATTATCCAGCTGCAGACTTACAAAGAGTGTATTTCGAAACTGCTCGATTAAAGAAAGGTTAACCTCTGTGAGTTGAACACACACATCACAAAGTGTTTTCTGAGAATGATTTTGTCTAGTTTTAATACGAAGATATATCCTTTTCTATCACTGTCTTCGAAGCGTTTGAAATCTGCACTAGCAAATTCCACAGAAAGAGTGTTTCAACTCTGCTCTCTCTCAAGAAAGGTTCAACTCTGTGAGTTGAATACACACAACACAAAGAAGTTACTGAGAATTCTTCTGTCTAGCGTTATATGAAGAAATCCCGTTTCCAACGAAGGCCTCAAAGAGGTCCAAATATCCACTTGCAGACTTTACAAATAGAGTGTTTCCAAACTGCTCTATGAAAAGAAAGGTTAAACTCCGTGAGTTGAAGGCACACATTACAAGCTAGTTTCTGCGAATGACTCTGTGTACTTTTAATACGAAGATGTTTCCATGTCTAAGATTGGCGTGAATTCGCTTGAAATCTCCACTTGCAAATTCCACAAAAAGAGTGTTTCAAAACTGCTCTGAATAAAGGAAGGTTCCACTCTGTGAGTTGAATACACACAACACAAAGGATTTACTGAGAATTCTTCTGTCTAGCAGTAAATGAAAAAATCCCGCTTCCAACGAAGTCCTCAAAGGGGTCCAAGTAATCACTTGCAGACTTTACAGACAGAGTCTTTCCAAACTGCTCTATGAAAAGAAAGGTGGAACTCTGTGAGTTGAACGCACACATAACAAAGCAGTTTCTGAGAATGATTCTGTGTAGTTTTTACACGAAGATATTTCCATTTCAAAGATTAGCCTCAAATCGCTTGAAATCTCCACTTGCAAATTCCACAGAAAGAGTTTTTCAAAACTGCTCTGTGTAAAGGAAGGTTCAACTCTGTGACTTGAATACACACAACACAAAGAAGTGACTGAGAATTCTTCTGTCTAGCATTACATGAAGAAATCCCGTTTCCAACGAAGGCCTCAAAGAAGTCCAAATAAGCACCTGCAGACTTTACAAACAGAGTGTTTCCAAACTGCTCTATGAAAAGAAAGGTTAAACTCTGTGAGTTGAACGCACACATCACAAAGTAGTTGTTGAGAATGATTCTGTGTAGTTTTTATACGAAGATATTTCCTTTTCTGCCATAGGCCTAGAAGCGCTTGTAATCTGCACTTGCAAATTCCAAAAACAGAGTGTTTCAAATCTGCTCTCTCTAAAGGAAGGTTCAAATCTGTGAGTTGAATACAAACAACACAAAGAAGTTACTGAGAATTCTTCTGTCTAGCGTTATATGAAGAAATCCCGTTTCCAACGAAGGCCTCAAAGAGGTCCAAATATCCACTTGCAGACTTTACAAAGAGAGTGTTTCCAAACTGCTCTATGAAAAGAAAGGTTAAACTCCGTGAGTTGAAGGCACACATCACAAACTAGTTTCTGCGAATGACTCTGTGTACTTTTAATACGAAGATGTTTCCATGTCTAAGATTGGCGTGAATTCGCTTGAAATCTCCACTTGCAAATTCCACAAAAAGAGTGTTTCAAAACTGCTCTGAATAAAGGAAGGTTCCACTCTGTGAGTTGAATACACACAACACAAAGGATTTACTGAGAATTCTTTCTGTCTAGCAGTAAATGAAAAAATCCCGCTTCCAACGAAGTCCTCAAAGGGGTCCAAGTAATCACTTGCAGACTTTACAGACAGAGTCTTTCCAAACTGCTCTATGAAAAGAAAGGTGGAACTCTGTGAGCTGAACGCACACATAACAAAGCAGTTTCTGACAATGATTCTGTGTAGTTTTTACACGAAGCTATTTCCATTTCAAAGATTAGCCACAAATCGCTTGAAATCTCCACTTGCAAATTCCACAGAAAGAGTTTTTCAAAACTGCTCTGTGTAAAGGAAGGTTCAACTCTGTGACTTGAATACACACAACACAAAGAAGTGACTGAGAATTCTTCTGTCTAGCATTATATGAAGAAATCCCGTTTCCAACGAAGGCCTCAAAGAAGTCCAAATAAGCACCTGCAGACTTTACAAACAGAGTGTTTCCAAACTGCTCTATGAAAAGAAAGGTTAAACTCTGTGAGTTGAACGCACACATCACAAAGTAGTTGTTGAGAATGATTCTGTGTAGTTTTTATACGAAGATATTTCCTTTTCTGCCATAGGCCTAGAAGCGCTTGCAATCTGCACTTGCAAATTCCAAAAACAGAGTGTTTCAAATCTGCTCTCTCCAAAGGAAGGTTCAAATCTGTGAGTTGAATACAAACAACACAAGGAAGTTATTAAGATTTATTCTGTCTAGCAGTATATGAAGAAATCCCGTTTCCAAAGAAGGCCTCAAAGAGGTCCAAATATCCTCTTGCAGATTTTACAAAAAGAGTGTTTCAAAACTGCTCTATCAAAAGAAAGGTTAAAATCTGTGAGTTGAATGCACACATCAAAAAGTAGTTTCTGAGAATGATTCTGTGTACTTTTAATACGAAGATGTTTCCATGTCTAAGATTGGCGTGAATTTGCTTGAAATCTCCACTTGCAAATTCCACAAAAAGAGTGTTTCAAAACTGCTCTGAATAAAGGAAGGTTCCACTCTGTGAGTTGAATACACACAACACAAAGGATTTACTGAGAATTCTTCTGTCTAGCAGTAAATGAGAAATCCCGCTTCCAACGAAGGCCTCAAAGGGGTCTAACTAATCACTTGCAGACTTTACAGACAGAGTCTTTCCAAACTGCTCTATGAAGAGAAAGGTGAAACTCTGAGAACTGAACGCACAGATGACAAAGCAGTTTCTGAGAATGATTCTGTGTAGTTTTTACACGAAGATATTTCCATTTCAAAGATTAGCCTCAAATCGCTTGAAATCTCCACTTGCAAATTCCACAGAAAGAGTTTTTCAAAACTGCTCTGTGTAAAGGAAGGTTCAACTCTGTGACTTGAATACACACAACACAAAGAAGTGACTGAGAATTCTTCTGTCTAGCATTATACGAAGAAATCCCGTTTCCAACGAAGGCCTCGAAGAAGTCCAAATAAGCACCTGCAGACTTTACAAACAGAGTGTTTCCAAACTGCTCTATGAAGAGAAAGGTAAAACTCTGTGAGTTGAACGCACACATCACAAAGTAGTTGTTGAGAATGATTCTGTGTAGTTTTTATACGAAGATATTTAATTTTCTGACATAGGCCTAGAAGCGCTTCCAATCTGCACTTGCAAATTCCAAAAACAGAGTGTTTCAAATCTGCTCTCTCCAAAGGAAGGTTCAAATCTGTGAGTTGAATACAAACAACACAAAGAAGTTACTGAGAATTCTTCTCTCTAGCGTTGTATGAAGAAATCCCGTTTCCAACGAAGGCCTCAAAGAGGTCCAAATATCCACTTGCAGACTTTACAAATAGAGTGTTTCCAAACTGCTCTATGAAAAGAAAGGTTAAACTCTGTGAGTTGAAGGCACACATCACAAACTAGTTTCTACGAATGACTCTGTGTACTTTTAATATGAAGATATTTCCATGTCTAAGATTGGCGTCAAATCGCTTGAAATCTCCACTTGCAAATTCCACAAAAAGAGTGTTTCAAAACTGCTCTGAATAAAGGAAGGTTCCACTCTGTGAGTTGAATACACACAACACAAAGGATTTACTGAGAATTCTTCTGTCTAGCAGTAAATGAGAAATCCCGCTTCCAACGAAGGCCTCAAAGGGGTCTAACTAATCACTTGCAGACTTTACAGACAGAGTCTTTCCAAACTGCTCTATGAAGAGAAAGGTGAAACTCTGTGAACTGAACGCACAGATGACAAAGCAGTTTCTGAGAATGATTCTGTATAGTTTTTACACGAAGATATTTCCATTTCAAAGATTAGCCTCAAATCGCTTGAAATCTCCACTTGCAAACTCCACAGAAAGAATTTTTCAAAACTACTCTGTCTAAAGGTAGGTTCAACTCTGTGACTTGAATACACACAACACAAAGAAGTGACTGAGAATTCTTCTGTCTAGCATTATAAGAGGAAATCCCGTTTCCAACGAAGGGCTCATAGAGGGACAATTATCCAGCTGCAGACTTACAAAGAGTGTATTTCCAAACTGCTCGATTAAAGAAAGGTTAAACTCTGTGAGTTGAACACACACATCACAAAGTGTTTTCTGAGAATGATTTTGTCTAGTTTTAATACGAAGATATATCCTTTTCTATCACTGTCTTCGAAGCGTTTGAAATCTGCACTAGCAAATTCCACAAACAGAGTGTTTCAACTCTGCTCTCTCTCAAGAAAGGTTCAACTCTGTGAGTTGAATACACACAACACAAAGAAGTTACTGAGAATTCTTCTGTCTAGCGTTGTATGAAGAAATCCCGTTTCCAACGGAGGCCTCAAAGAGGTCCAAATATCCACTTGCAGACTTTACAAACAGAGTGTTTCCAAACTGCTCTATGAAAAGAAAGGTTAAACTCTGTGAGTTGAAGGCACACATCACAAACTAGTTTCTACGAATGACTCTGTGTACTTTTAATACGAAGATGTTTCCATGTCTAAGATTGGCGTGAATTCGCTTGAAATCTCCACTTGCAATTTCCACAAAAAGAGTGTTTCAAAAGTGCTCTGAATAAAGGAAGGTTCCACTCTGTGAGTTGAATACACACAACACAAAGGATTTACTGAGAATTCTTCTGTCTAGCAGTAAATGAAAAAATCCCGCTTCCAACGAAGTCCTCAAAGGGGTCCAAGTAATCACTTGCAGACTTTACAGACAGAGTCTTTCCAAACTGCTCTATGAAAAGAAAGGTGGAACTCTGTGAGCTGAACGCACACATAACAAAGCAGTTTCTGAGAATGATTCTGTGTAGTTTTTACACGAAGCTATTTCCATTTCAAAGATTAGCCTCAAATCGCTTGAAATCTCCACTTGCAAATTCCACAGAAAGAGTTTTTCAAAACTGCTCTGTGTAAAGGAAGGTTCAACTCTGTGACTTGAATACACACAACACAAAGAAGTGACTGAGAATTCTTCTGTCTAGCATTACATGAAGAAATCCCGTTTCCAACGAAGGCCTCAAAGAAGTCCAAATAAGCACCTGCAGACTTTACAAACAGAGTGTTTCCAAACTGCTCTATGAAAAGAAAGGTTAAACTCTGTGAGTTGAACGCACACATCACAAAGTAGTTGTTGAGAATGATTCTGTGTAGTTTTTATACGAAGATATTTCCTTTTCTGCCATAGGCCTAGAAGCGCTTGTAATCTGCACTTGCAAATTCCAAAAACAGAGTGTTTCAAATCTGCTCTCTCTAAAGGAAGGTTCAAATCTGTGAGTTGAATACAAACAACACAAAGAAGTTACTGAGAATTCTTCTGTCTAGCATTATAAGAGGAAATCCCGTTTCCAACGAAGGGCTCATAGAGGGACAATTATCCAGCTGCAGACTTACAAAGAGTGTATTTCCAAACTGCTCGATTAAAGAAAGGTTAAACTCTGTGAGTTGAACGCACACATCACAAAGTGTTTTCTGAGAATGATTTTGTCTAGTTTTAATACGAAGATATATCCTTTTCTATCACTGTCTTCGAAGCGTTTGAAATCTGCACTAGCAAATTCCACAAACAGAGTGTTTCAACTCTGCTCTCTCTCAAGAAAGGTTCAACTCTGTGAGTGGAATAAACACAACACAAAGAAGTTACTGAGAATTCTTCTGTCTAGCGTTATATGAAGAAATCCCGTTTCCAACGAAGGCCTCAAAGAGGTCCAAATATCCACTTGCAGACTTTACAAATAGAGTGTTTCCAAACTGCTCTATGAAAAGAAAGGTTAAACTCCGTGAGTTGAAGGCACACATCACAAACTAGTTTCTGCGAATGACTCTGTGTAGTTTTAATATGAAGATATTTCCATGTCTAAGATTGGCGTCAAATCGCTTGAAATCTCCACTTGCAAATTCCACAAAAAGAGTGTTTCAAAACTGCTCTGAATAAAGGAAGTTTCCAATCTGTGAGTTGAATACACACAACACAAAGGATTTACTGAGAATTCTTCTGTCTAGCATTGTATGAAGAAATCCCTTTTCCAACGAAGGCCTCAATGAAGTCCAAAAAAGCAATTGCAGGCTTTACAAACAGAGTGTTTCCAAACTGCTCTATGAAAAGAAAGGTTAAACTTTGTGAGTTGAACGCACACATCACAAAGTAGTTGTTGAGAATGATTCTGTGTAGTTTTTATACGAAGATATTTCCTTTTCTGCCATAGGCCTAGAATCGCTTGAAATCTGCACTTGCAAATTCCAAAAACAGAGTGTTTCAACTCTGCTCTCTCTAAAGAAAGGTTCAACTCTGTGAGTTGAATACACACAACACAAAGAAGTTACTGAGAATTCTTCTGTCTAGCGTTGTATGAAGAAATCCCGTTTCCAACGAAGGCCTCAAAGAGGTCCAAATATCCACTTGCAGACTTTACAAATAGAGTGTTTCCAAACTGCTCTATGAAAAGAAAGGTTAAACTCTGTGAGTTGAAGGCACACATCACAAACTAGTTTCTACGAATGACTCTGTGTACTTTTAATATGAAGATATTTCCATGTCTAAGATTGGCGTCAAATCGCTTGAAATCTCCACTTGCAAATTCCACAAAAAGAGTGTTTCAAAACTGCTCTGAATAAAGGAAGGTTCCACTCTGTGAGTTGAATACACACAACACAAAGGATTTACTGAGAATTCTTCTGTCTAGCAGTAAATGAGAAATCCCGCTTCCAACGAAGGCCTCAAAGGGGTCTAACTAATCACTTGCAGACTTTACAGACAGAGTCTTTCCAAACTGCTCTATGAAGAGAAAGGTGAAACTCTGTGAACTGAACGCACAGATGACAAAGCAGTTTCTGAGAATGATTCTGTGTAGTTTTTACACGAAGATATTTCCATTTCAAAGATTAGCCTCAAATCGCTTGAAATCTCCACTTGCAAATTACACAGAAAGAATTTTTCAAAACTGCTCTGTCTAAAGGAAGGTTCAACTCTGTGACTTGAATACACACAACACAAAGAAGTGACTGAGAATTCTTCTGTCTAGCATTATATGAAGAAATCCCGTTTCCAACGAAGGCCTCAATGAAGTCAAAAAAAGCACTTGCAGGCTTTACAAACAGAGTGTTTCCAAACTGCTCTATGAAAAGAAAGGTTAAACTCTGTGAGTTGAACGCACACATCACAAAGTAGTTGTTGAGAATGATTCTGTGTAGTTTTTATACGAAGATATTTCCTTTTCTGCCATAGGCCTAGAATCGCTTGAAATCTGCAGTTGCAAATTCCAAAAACAGAGTGTTTCAACTCTGCTCTCTCTAAAGAAAGGTTCAACTCTGTGAGTTAAATACACACAACACAAAGAAGTTACTGAGAATTCTTCTGTCTAGCGTTGTATGAAGAAATCCCGTTTCCAACGAAGGCCTCAAAGAGGTCCAAATATCCACTTGCAGACTTTACAAATAGAGTGTTTCCAAACTGCTCTATGAAAAGAAAGGTTAAACCCTGTGAGTTGAAGGCACACATCACAAACTAGTTTCTACGAATGACTCTGTGTACTTTTAATATGAAGATATTTCCATGTCTAAGATTGGCGTCAAATCGCTTGAAATCTCCACTTGCAAATTCCACAAAAAGTGTTTTTCAAAACTGCTCTGAATAAAGGAAGGTTCCACTCTGTGAGTTGAATACACACAACACAAAGGATTTACTGAGAATTCTTCTGTCTAGCAGTAAATGAGAAATCCCGCTTCCAACGAAGGCCTCAAAGGGGTCTAACTAATCACTTGCAGACTTTACAGACAGAGTCTTTCCAAACTGCTCTATGAAGAGAAAGGTGAAACTCTGTGAACTGAACGCACAGATGACAAAGCAGTTTCTGAGAATGATTCTGTCTAGTTTTTACGCGGAGATATTTCCATTTCAAAGATTGGCCTTAAATCGCATGTAATCTCCACTTGCAAATTCCACAGAAAGAGTTTTTCAAAACTGCTCTGTCTAAATGAAGGTTCAACTCTGTGACTTGAATACACACAACACAAAGAAGTGACTGAGAATTCTTCTGTCTAGCAGTATATGAAGAAATCCCGTTTCCAACGAAGGCCTCAAAGAAGTCCAAATATGCACTTGCAGACTTTACAAACAGAGTGTTTCCAAACTGCTCGATTAAAAGAAAGGTTAAAATCTGTGAGTTGAACGCACACATCACAAAGTAGTTCTTGAGAATGATTCTGTGTAGTTTTTCTACGAAGATATTTCCTTTTCTGCCATAGGCCTAGAATCGCTTGAAATCTGCACTTGCAAATTCCAAAAACAGAGTGTTTCAACTCTGTTCTCTCTAAAGAAAGGTTCAACTCTGTGAGTTGAATACACACAACACAAAGAAGTTACTGAGAATTCTTCTGTCTAGCGTTGTATGAAGAAATCCCGTTTCCAACGAAGGCCTCAATGAAGTCCAAAAAAGGACTTGCAGGCTTTACAAACAGAGTGTTTCCAAACTGCTCTCTGAAAAGAAAGGTTAACCTCTGTGAGTTGAACGCACACATCACAAAGTAGTTGTTGAGAATGATTCTGTGTAGTTTTTATACGAAGATATTTCCTTTTCTGCCATAGGCCTAGAAGCGCTTGAAATCTGCACTTGCAAATTCCAAACACAGAGTGTTTCAACTCTGCTCTCTCTAAAGGAAGGTTCAACTCTGTGAGTTGAATACACACAACACAAAGAAGTTACTGAGAATTCTTCTGTCTAGCGTTGTATGAAGAAATCCCGTTTCCAACGAAGGCCTCAATGAAGTCCAAAAAAGCACTTGCAGGCTTTACAAACAGAGTGTTTCCAAAGTGCTCTATGAAAAGAAAGGTTAAACTCTGTGAGTTGAACGCACACATCACAAAGTAGTTGTTGAGAATGATTCTGTGTAGTTTTTATACGAAGATATTTCCTTTTCTGCCATAGGCCTAGAAGCGCATGAAATCTGCAATTGCAAATTCCAAAAACAGAGTGTTTCAACTCTGCTCTCTCTAAAGAAAGGTTCAACTCTGTGAGTTGAATACCCACAACACAAAGAAGTTACTGAGAATTCTTCTGTCTAGCGTTGTATGAAGAAATCCCGTTTCCAACGAAGGCCTCAATGAAGTCCAAAAAAGCACTTGCAGGCTTTACAAACAGAGTGTTTCCAAACTGCTCTATGAAAAGAAAGGTTAAACTCTGTGAGTTGAACACACAAATCACAAAGAGTTTTCTGAGAATGATTTTGTCTACTTTTAATACGAAGATATATCCTTTTCTATCACTGTCTTCGAAGCGTTTGAAATCTACACTAGCAAATTCCACAAAAAGAGTGTTTCACCTCTGCTCCCTCTAAAGAAAGGTTCAACTCTGTGAGTTGAATACACACAACACAAAGAAGTTACTGAGAATTCTTCTGTCTAGCGTTATATGAAGAAATCCCGTTTCCAACGAAGGCCTCAAAGAGGTCCAAATATCCACTTGCAGACTTTACAAATAGAGTGTTTCCCAACTGCTCTATGAAAAGAAAGGTTAAACTCTGTGAGTTGAAGGCACACATCACAAACTAGTTTCTACGAATGACTCTGTGTACTTTTAATATGAAGATATTTCCATGTCTAAGATTGGCGTCAAATCGCTTGAAATCTCCACTTGCAAATTCCACAAAAAGAGTGTTTCAAAACTGCTCTGAATAAAGGAAGGTTCCACTCTGTGAGTTGAATACACACAACACAAAGGATTTACTGAGAATTCTTCTGTCTAGCAGTAAATGAGAAATCCCGCTTCCAACGAAGGCCTCAAAGGGGTCTAACTAATCACTTGCAGACTTTACAGACAGAGTCTTTCCAAACTGCTCTATGAAGAGAAAGGTGAAACTCTGTGAACTGAACGCACAGATGACAAAGCAGTTTCTGAGAATGATTCTGTGTAGTTTTTGCACGAAGATATTTCCATTTCAAAGATTAGCCTCAAATCGCTTGAAATCTCCACTTGCAAATTCCACAGAAAGAGTTTCTCAAAACTGCTCTGTGTAAAGGAAGGTTCAACTCTGTGACTTGAATACACACAACACAAAGAAGTGACTGAGAATTCTTCTGTCTAGCATTATAAGAGGAAATCCTGTTTCCAACGAAGGGCTCATAGAGGGACAATTATCCAGCTGCAGACTTACAAAGAGTGTATTTCCAAACTGCTCGATTAAAGAAAGGTTAAACTCTGTGAGTTGAACACACACATCACAAAGTGTTTTCTGAGAATGATTTTGTCTAGTTTTAATACGAAGATATATCCTTTTCTATCACTGTCTTCGAAGCGTTTGAAATCGGCACTAGCAAATTCCACAAACAGAGTGTTTCAACTCTGCTCTCTCTCAAGAAAGGTTCAACTCTGTGAGTGGAATACACACAACACAAAGAAGTTACGGAGAATTCTTCTGTCTAGCGTTATATGAAGAAATCCCGTTTCCAACGAAGGCCTCAAAGAGGTCCAAATATCCACTTGCAGACTTTACAAATAGAGTGTTTCCAAACTGCTCTATGAAAAGAAAGGTTAAACTCCGTGAGTTGAAGGCACACATCACAAACTAGTTTCTGCGAATGACTCTGTGTACTTTTAATACGAAGATGTTTCCATGTCTAAGATTGGCGTGAATTCGCTTGAAATCTCCACTTGCAAATTCCACAAAAAGAGTGTTTCAAAACTGCTCTGAATAAAGGAAGGTTCCACTCTGTGAGTTGAATACACACAACACAAAGGATTTACTGAGAATTCTTCTGTCTAGCAGTAAATGAAAAAATCCCGCTTCCAACGAAGTCCTCAAAGGGGTCCAAGTAATCATTTGCAGACTTTACAGACAGAGTCTTTCCAAACTGCTCTATGAAAAGAAAGGTGGAACTCTGTGAGCTGAACGCACACATAACAAAGCAGTTTCTGAGAATGATTCTGTGTAGTTTTTACACGAAGATATTTCCATTTCAAAGATTAGCCTCAAATTGCTTGAAATCTCCACTTGCAAATTCCACAGAAAGAGTTTTTCAAAACTGCTCTGTGTAAAGGAAGGTTCAACTCTGTGACTTGAATACACACAACACAAAGAAGTGACTGAGAATTCTTCTGTCTAGCATTATATGAAGAAATCCCGTTTCCAATGAAGGCCTCAAAGAAGTCCAAATAAGCACCTGCAGACTTTACAAACAGAGTGTTTCCAAACTGCTCTATGAAAAGAAAGGTTAAACTCTGTGAGTTGAACGCACACATCACAAACTAGTTTCTGCGAATGACTCTGTGTAGTTTTTATACGAAGATATTTCCTTTTCTGCCATAGGCCTAGAAGCGCTTGAAATCTGCACTTGCAAATTCCAAAAACAGAGTGTTTCAACTCTGCTCTCTCTAAAGGAAGGTTCAACTCTGTGAGTTGAATACACACAACACAAAGAAGTTACTGAGAATTCTTCTGTCTAGCGTTGTATGAAGAAATCCCGTTTCCAACGAAGGCCTCAATGAAGTCCAAAAAAGCACTTGCAGGCTTTACAAACAGAGTGTTTCCAAACTGCTCTATGAAAAGAAAGGTTAAACTCTGTGAGTTGAACGCACACATCACAAAGTAGTTGTTGAGAATGATTCTGTGTAGTTTTTATACGAAGATATTTCCTTTTCTGCCATAGGCCTAGAAGTGCTTGAAATCTGCACTTGCAAATTCCAAAAACAGAGTGTTTCAAATCTGCTCTCTATAAAGGAAGGTTCAAATCTGTGAGTTGAATACAAACAACACAGAGAAGTTACTGAGAATTCTTCTGTCTAGCGTTGTATGAAGAAATCCCGTTTCCAACGAAGGCCTCAAAGAGGTCCAAATATCCACTTGCAGACTTTACAAATAGAGTGTTTCCAAACTGCTCTATGAAAAGAAAGGTTAAACTCTGTGAGTTGAAGGCACACATCACAAACTAGTTTCTACGAATGACTCTGTGTACTTTTAATACCGAAGATGTTTCCATGTCTAAGATTGGCGTGAATTCGCTTGAAATCTCCACTTGCAAATTCCACAAAAAGAGTGTTTCAAAACTGCTCTGAATAAAGGAAGGTTCCACTCTGTGAGTTGAATACACACAACACGAAGGATTTACTGAGAATTCTTCTGTCTAGCAGTAAATGAAAAAATCCCGCTTCCAACGAAGTCCTCAAAGGGGTCCAAGTAATCACTTGCAGACTTTACAGACAGAGTCTTTCCAAACTGCTCTATGAAAAGAAAGGTGGAACTCTGCGAGCTGAACGCACACATAACAAAGCAGTTTCTGAGAATGATTCTGTGTAGTTTTTACACGAAGATATTTCCATTTCAAAGATTAGCCTCAAATCGCTTGAAATCTCCACTTGCAAATTCCACAGAAAGAGTTTTTCAAAACTGCTCTGTGTAAAGGAAGGTTCAACTCTGTGACTTGAATACACACAACACAAAGAAGTGACTGAGAATTCTTCTGTCTAGCATTATATGAAGAAATCCCGTTTCCAACGAAGGCCTCAAAGAAGTCCAAATAAGCACCTGCAGACTTTACAAACAGAGTGTTTCCAAACTGCTCTATGAAAAGAAAGGTTAAACTCTGTGAGTTGAACGCACACATCACAAAGTAGTTGTTGAGAATGATTTTGTCTAGTTTTAATACGAAGATATATCCTTTGCTATCACTGTCTTCGAAGCGTTTGAAATCTGCACTAGCAAATTCCACAAAAAGAGTGTTTCAACTCTGCTCTCTCTAAAGAAAGGTTCAACTCTGTGAGTTGAATACACACAACACAAAGAAGTTACTGAGAATTCTTCTGTCTAGCGTTATATGAAGAAATCCCGTTTCCAACGAAGGCCTCAAAGAGGTCCAAATATCCACTTGCAGACTTTACAAATAGAGTGTTTCCAAACTGCTCTATGAAAAGAAAGGTTAAACTCTGTGAGTTGAACGCACACATCACAAACTAGTTTCTGCGAATGACTCTGTGTACTTTTAATACGAAGATGTTTCCATGTCTAAGATTGGCGTGAATTCGCTTGAAATCTCCACTTGCAAATTCCACAAAAAGAGTGTTTCAAAACTGCTCTGAATAAAGGAAGGTTCCACTCTGTGAGTTGAATACACACAACACAAAGGATTTACTGAGAATTCTTCTGTCTAGCAGTAAATGAAAAAATCCCGCTTCCAACGAAGTCCTCAAAGGGGTCCAAGTAATCACTTGCAGACTTTACAGACAGAGTCTTTCCAAACTGCTCTATGAAAAGAAAGGTGGAACTCTGTGAGCTGAACGCACACATAACAAAGCAGTTTCTGACAATGATTCTGTGTAGTTTTTACACGAAGCTATTTCCATTTCAAAGATTAGCCTCAAATCGCTTGAAATCTCCACTTGCAAATTCCACAGAAAGAGTTTTTCAAAACTGCTCTGTGTAAAGGAAGGTTCAACTCTGTGACTTGAATACACACAACACAAAGAAGTGACTGAGAATTCTTCTGTCTAGCATTATATGAGGAAATCCCGTTTCCAAAGAAGGGTTCAAAGAGGGCCAATTATCCACCTGCAGACTTACAAAGAGTGTATTTCCAAACTGCTCGATTAAAGAAAGGTTAAACTCTGTGAGTTGAACACACACATCACAAAGTGTTTTCTGAGAATGATTTTGGCTAGTTTTAATACGAAGATATATCCTTTTCTATCACTGTCTTCGAAGCGTTTGAAATCTGCACTAGCAAATTCCACAAAAAGAGTGTTTCAACTCTGCTCTCTCTAAAGAAAGGTTCAACTCTGTGAGTTGAATACAAACAACACAAAGAAGTTACTGAGAATTCTTCTGTCTAGCGTTATATGAAGAAATCCCGTTTCCAACGAAGGCCTCAAAGAGGTCCAAATATCCACTTGCAGACTTTACAAATAGAGTGTTTCCCAACTGCTCTATGAAAAGAAAGGTTAAACTCTGTGAGTTGAAGGCACACATCACAAACTAGTTTCTACGAATGACTCTGTGTACTTTTAATATGAAGATATTTCCATGTCTAAGATTGGCGTCAAATCGCTTGAAATCTCCACTTGCAAATTCCACAAAAAGTGTTTTTCAAAACTGCTCTGAATAAAGGAAGGTTCCACTCTGTGAGTTGAATACACACAACACAAAGGATTTACTGAGAATTCTTCTGTCTAGCAGTAAATGAGAAATCCCGCTTCCAACGAAGGCCTCAAAGGGGTCTAACTAATCACTTGCAGACTTTACAGACAGAGTCTTTCCAAACTGCTCTATGAAGAGAAAGGTGAAACTCTGTGAACTGAACGCACAGATGACAAAGCAGTTTCTGAGAATGATTCTGTGTAGTTTTTACACGAAGATATTTCCATTTCAAAGATTAGCCTCAAATCGCTTGAAATCTCCACTTGCAAATTCCACAGAAAGAATTTTTCAAAACTGCTCTGTCTAAAGGAAGGTTCAACTCTGTGACTTCAATACAAACAACACAAAGAAGTGACTGAGAATTCTTCTGTCTAGCATTATATGAAGAAATCCCGTTTCCAACGAAGGCCTCAATGAAGTCCAAAAAAGCACTTGCAGGCTTTACAAACAGAGTGTTTCCAAACTGCTCTATGAAAAGAAAGGTTAAACTCTGTGAGTTGAACGCACACATCACAAAGTAGTTGTTGAGAATGATTCTGTGTAGTTTTTATATGAAGATATTTCCTTTTCTGCCATAGGCCTAGAAGCGCTTGAAATCTGCACTTGCAAATTCCAAAAACAGAGTGTTTCAAATCTGCTCTCTCTAAAGGAAGGTTCAAATCTGTGAGTTGAATACAAACAACACAAAGAAGTTACTGAGAATTCTTCTGTCTAGCGTTATATGAAGAAATCCCATTTCCAACGAAGGCCTCAAAGAGGTCCAAATATCCACTTGCAGACTTTACAAATAGAGTGTTTCCAAACTGCTCTATGAAAAGAAAGGTTAAACTCCGTGAGTTGAAGGCACACATCACAAACTAGTTTCTGCGAATGACTCTGTGTACTTTTAATACGAAGATGTTTCCATGTCTAAGATTGGCGTGAATTCGCTTGAAATCTCCACTTGCAAATTCCACAAAAAGAGTGTTTCAAAACTGCTCTGAATAAAGGAAGGTTCCACTCTGTGAGTTGAATACACACAACACAAAGGATTTACTGAGAATTCTTCTGTCTAGCAGTAAATGAAAAAATCCCGCTTCCAACGAAGTCCTCAAAGGGGTCCAAGTAATCACTTGCAGACTTTACAGACAGAGTCTTTCCAAACTGCTCTATGAAAAGAAAGGTGGAACTCTGTGAGCTGAACGCACACATAACAAAGCAGTTTCTGACAATGATTCTGTGTAGTTTTTACACGAAGATGTTTCCATTTCAAAGATTAGCCTCAAATCGCTTGAAATCTCCACTTGCAAATTCCACAGGAAGAGTTTTTCAAAACTGCTACTGTGTAAAGGAAGGTTCAACTCTGTGACTTGAATACACACAACACAAAGAAGTGACTGAGAATTCTTCTGTCTAGCATTATATGAAGAAATCCCGTTTCCAACGAAGGCCTCAATGAAGTCCAAAAAAGCACTTGCAGGCTTTACAAACAGAGTGTTTCCAAACTGCTCTAAGAAAAGAAAGGTTAAACTCTGTGAGTTGAACGCACACATCACAAAGTAGTTGTTGATAATGATTCTGTGTAGTTTTTATACGAAGATATTTCCTTTTCTGCCATAGGCCTAGAAGCGCTTGAAATCTGCACTTGCAAATTCCAAAAACAGAGTGTTTCAAATCTGCTCTCTCTAAAGGAAGGTTCAAATCTGTGAGTTGAATACAAACAACACAAAGAAGTTACTGAGAATTCTTCTGTCTAGCATTATATGAGGAAATCCCGTTTCCAACGAAGGGCTCAAAGAGGGCCAATTATCCACCTGCAGACTTACAAAGAGTGTATTTCCAAACTGCTCGATTAAAGAAAGGTTAAACTGTGTGAGTTGAACACACACATCACAAAGTGTTTTCTGAGAATGATTTTGTCTAGTTTTAATACGAAGATATATCCTTTGCTATCACTGTCTTCGAAGCGTTTGAAATCTGCACTAGCAAATTCCACAAAAAGAGTGTTTCAACTCTGCTCTCTCTAAAGAAAAGTTGAACTCTGTGAGTTGAATACACACAACACAAAGAAGTTACTGAAAATTCTTCTGTCTAGCGTTATATGAAGAAATCCCTTTTCCAACGATGGCCTCAAAGAGGTCCAAATATCCACTTGCAGACTTTACAAATAGAGTGTTTCCGAACTGCTCTATGAAAAGAAAGGTTAAACTCTGTGAGTTGAAGGCACACATCACAAACTAGTTTCTACGAATGATTCTGTGTACTTTTAATATGAAGATATTTCCATGTCTAAGATTGGCGTCAAATCGCTTGAAATCTCCACTTGCAAATTCCACAAAAAGTGTTTTTCAAAACTGCTCTGAATAAAGGAAGGTTCCACTCTGTGAGTTGAATACACACAACACAAACGATTTACTGAGAATTCTTCTGTCTAGCAGTAAATGAGAAATCCCGCTTCCAACGAAGGCCTCAAAGGGGTCTAACTAATCACTTGCAGACTTTACAGACAGAGTCTTTCCAAACTGCTCTATGAAGAGAAAGGTGAAACTCTGTGAACTGAACGCACAGATGACAAAGCAGTTTCTGAGAATGATTCCCGTGTAGTTTTTACACGAAGATATTTCCATTTCAAAGATTAGCCTCAAATCGCTTGAAATCTCCACTTGCAAATTACACAGAAAGAATTTTTCAAAACTGCTCTGTCTAAAGGAAGGTTCAACTCTGTGACTTGAATACACACAACACAAAGAAGTGACTGAGAATTCTTCTGTCTAGCATTATATGAAGAAATCCCGTTTCCAACGAAGGCCTCAATGAAGTCCAAAAAGGCACTTGCAGGCTTTACAAACAGAGTGTTTCCAAACTGCTCTATGAAAAGAAAGGTTAAACTCTGTGAGTTGAACGCACACATCACAAAGTAGTTGTTGAGAATGATTCTGTGTAGTTTTTATACGAAGATATTTCCTTTTCTGCCATAGGCCTAGAATCGCTTGAAATCTGCACTTGCAAATTCCAAAAACAGAGTGTTTCAACTCTGCTCTCTCTAAAGAAAGGTTCAACTCTGTGAGTTGAATACACACAACACAAAGAAGTTACTGAGAATTCTTCTGTCTAGCATTATATGAGGAAATCCCGTTTCCAACGAAGGCCTCAAAGAGGTCCAAATATCCACTTGCAGACTTTACAAATAGAGTGTTTCCAAACTGCTCTATGAAAAGAAAGGTTAAACTCTGTGAGTTGAAGGCACACATCACAAACTAGTTTCTACGAATGACTCTGTGTACTTTTAATATGAAGATATTTCCATGTCTAAGATTGGCGTCAAATCGCTTGAAATCTCCACTTGCAAATTCCACAAAAAGTGTTTTTCAAAACTGCTCTGAATAAAGGAAGGTTCCACTCTGTGAGTTGAATACACACAACACAAAGGATTTACTGAGAATTCTTCTGTCTAGCAGTAAATGAGAAATCCCGCTTCCAACGAAGGCCTCAAAGGGGTCTAACTAATCACTTGCAGACTTTACAGACAGAGTCTTTCCAAACTGCTCTATGAAGAGAAAGGTGAAACTCTGTGAACTGAACGCACAGATGACAAAGCAGTTTCTGAGAATGATTCTGTGTAGTTTTTACACGAAGATATTTCCATTTCAAAGATTAGCCTCAAATCGCTGGAAATCTCCACTTGCAAACTCCACAGAAAGAATTTTTCAAAACTGCTCTGTCTAAAGGAAGGTTCAACTCTGTGACTTGAATACACACAACACAAAGAAGTGACTGAGAATTCTTCTGTCTAGCATTATAAGAGGAAATCCCGTTTCCAACGAAGGGCTCATAGAGGGACAATTATCCAGCTGCAGACTTACAAAGAGTGTATTTCCAAACTGCTCGATTAAAGAAAGGTTAAACTCTGTGAGTTGAACACACACATCACAAAGTGTTTTCTGAGAATGATTTTGTCTAGTTTTAATACGAAGATATATCCTTTTCTATCACTGTCTTCGAAGCGTTTGAAATCTGCACTAGCAAATTCCACAGAAAGAGTGTTTCAACTCTGCTCTCTCTCAAGAAAGGTTCAACTCTGTGAGTGGAATACACACAACACAAAGAAGTTACTGAGAATTCTTCTGTCTAGCGTTATATGAAGAAATCCCGTTTCCAACGAAGGCCTCAAAGAGGTCCAAATATCCACTTGCAGACTTTACAAAGAGAGTGTTTCCAAACTGCTCTATGAAAAGAAAGGTTAAACTCCGTGAGTTGAAGGCACACATCACAAACTAGTTTCTGCGAATGACTCTGTGTACTTTTAATACGAAGATGTTTCCATGTCTAAGATTGGCGTGAATTCGCTTGAAATCTCCACTTGCAATTTCCACAAAAAGAGTGTTTCAAAACTGCTCTGAATAAAGGAAGGTTCCACTCTGTGAGTTGAATACACACAACACAAAGGATTTACTGAGAATTCTTCTGTCTAGCAGTAAATGAAAAAATCCCGCTTCCAACGAAGTCCTCAAAGGGGTCCAAGTAATCACTTGCAGACTTTACAGACAGAGTCTTTCCAAACTGCTCTATGAAAAGAAAGGTGGAACTCTGTGAGCTGAACGCACACATAACAAAGCAGTTTCTGACAATGATTCTGTGTAGTTTTTACACGAAGCTATTTCCATTTCAAAGATTAGCCTCAAATCGCTTGAAATCTCCACTTGCAAATTCCACAGAAAGAGTTTTTCAAAACTGCTCTGTGTAAAGGATGGTTCAACTCTGTGACTTGAATACACACAACACAAAGAAGTGACTGAGAATTCTTCTGTCTAGCATTATATGAGGAAATCCCATTTCCAATGAAGGGCTCAAAGAGGGCCAATTATCCACCAGCAGACTTACAAAGAGTGTATTTCCAAACTGCTCGACTAAGAAAGGTTAAACTCTGTGAGTTGAACACACACATCACAAAGTGTTTTCTGCGAATGATTTTGTCTAGTTTTAATACGAAGATATATCCTTTTCTATCACTGTCTTCGAAGCGTTTGAAATCTGCACTAGCAAATTCCACAAAAAGAGTGTTTCCACTCTGCTCTCTCTCAAGAAAGGTTCAACTCTGTGAGTTGAATACACACAACACAAAGAAGTTACTGAGAATTCTTCTGTCTAGCGTTATATGATGAAATCCCGTTTCCAACGAAGGCCTCAAAGAGGTCCAAATATCCACTTGCAGACTTTAGAAATAGAGTGTTTCTAAACTGCTCTATGAAAAGAAAGGTTAAACTCTGTGAGTTGAAGGCACACTTCACAAACTAGTTTCTAAGAATGACTCTGTGTACTTTTAATATGAAGATATTTCCACGTCTAAGATTGGCGTCAAATCGCTTGAAATCTCCACTTGCAAATTCCACAAAAAGTGTTTTTCAAAACTTCTCTGAATAAAGGAAGGTTCAACTCTGTGAGTTGAATACACACAACACAAAGGATTTACTGAGAATTCTTCTGTCTAGCAGTAAATGAGAAATCCCGCTTCCAACGAAGGCCTCAAAGGGGTCTAACTAATCACTTGCAGACTTTACAGACAGAGTCTTTCCAAACTGCTCTATGAAGAGAAAAGTGAAACTCTGTGAACTGAACGCACTCATAACAAAGCAGTTTCTGAGAATGATTCTGTGCAGTTTTTACACGAAGATATTTCCATTTCAAAGATTAGCCTCAAATCGCTTGAAATCTCCACTTGCAAATTCCACAAAAAGAGTGTTTCAAAACTGCTCTGAATAAAGGAAGGTTCAACTCTGTGAGTTGAATACACACAACACAAAGGATTTAATGAGAATTCTTCTGTCTAGCATTATATGAGGAAATCCCGTTTCCAACGAGGGCTCAAAGAGGGCCAATTATCCACCTGCAGACTTACAAAGAGTGTATTTCCAAACTGCTCGATTAAAGAAAGGTTAAACTCTGTGAGTTGAACACACACATCACAAAGTGTTTTCTGAGAATGATTTTGTCTAGTTTTAATACGAAGATATATCCTTTGCTATCACTGTCTTCGAAGCGTTTGAAATCTGCACTAGCAAATTCCACAAAAAGAGTGTTTCAACTCTGCTCTCTCTAAAGAAAAGTTGAACTCTGTGAGTTGAATACACACAACACAAAGAAGTTACTGAAAATTCTTCTGTCTAGCGTTATATGAAGAAATCCCTTTTCCAACGATGGCCTCAAAGAGGTCCAAATATCCACTTGCAGACTTTACAAATAGAGTGTTTCCGAACTGCTCTATGAAAAGAAAGGTTAAACTCTGTGAGTTGAAGGCACACATCACAAACTAGTTTCTACGAATGATTCTGTGTACTTTTAATATGAAGATATTTCCATGTCTAAGATTGGCGTCAAATCGCTTGAAATCTCCACTTGCAAATTCCACAAAAAGAGTGTTTCAAAACTGCTCTGAATAAAGGAAGGTTCCACTCTGTGAGTTGAATAAACGCAACACAAATGATTTACTGAGAATTCTTCTGTCTAGCAATATATGAAGAAATCCCGTTTCCAACGAAGGCCTCAATGAAGTCCAAAAAAGCTCTTGCAGGCTTTACAAACAGAGTGTTTCCAAACTTCTCTATGAAAAGAAAGGTTAAACTTTGTGAGTTGAACGCACACATCACAAAGTAGTTGTTGAGAATGATTTTGTCTAGTTTTAATACGAAGATATATCCTTTTCTATCACTGTCTTCGAAGCGTTTGAAATCTGCACTAGCAAATTCCACAAAAAGAGTGTTTCCACTCTGCTCTCTCTCAAGAAAGTTTCAACTCTGTGAGTTGAATACACACAACACAAAGAAGTTACTGAGAATTCTTCTGTCTAGCGCTATATGAAGAAATCCCGTTTCCAACGAAGGCCTCAAAGAGGTCCAAATATCCACTTGCAGACTTTAGAAATAGAGTGTTTCTAAACTGCTCTATGAAAAGAAAGGTTAAACTCTGTGAGTTGAAGGCACACTTCACAAACTAGTTTCTAAGAATGACTCTGTGTACTTTTAATATGAAGATATTTCCATGTCTAAGATTGGCGTCAAATCGCTTGAAATCTCCACTTGCAAATTCCACAAAAAGTGTTTTTCAAAACTGCTCTGAATAAAGGAAGGTTCCACTCTGTGAGTTGAATACACACAACACAAAGGATTTACTGAGAATTCTTCTGTCTAGCAGTAAATGAGAAATCCCGCTTCCAACGAAGGCCTCAAAGGGGTCTAACTAATCACTTGCAGACTTTACAGACAGAGTCTTTCCAAACTGCTCTATGAAGAGAAAGGTGAAACTCTGTGAACTGAACGCACAGATGACAAAGCAGTTTCTGAGAATGATTCTGTGTAGTTTTTACACGAAGATATTTCCATTTCAAAGATTAGCCTCAAATCGCTTGAAATCTCCACTTGCAAACTCCACAGAAAGAATTTTTCAAAACTGCTCTGTCTAAAGGAAGGTTCAACTCTGTGACTTGAATACACACAACACAAAGAAGTGACTGAGAATTCTTCTGTCTAGCATTATATGAAGAAATCCCGTTTCCAACGAAGGCCTCAATGAAGTCCAAAAAAGCACTTGCAGGCTTTACAAACAGAGTGTTTCCAAACTGCTCTATGAAAAGAAAGGTTAAACTCTGTGAGTTGAACGCACACATCACAAAGTAGTTGTTGAGAATGATTCTGTGTAGTTTTTATACGAAGATATTTCCTTTTCTGCCATAGGCCTAGAAGCGCTTGAAATCTGCACTTGCAAATTCCAAAAACAGAGTGTTTCAAATCTGCTCTCTCTAAAGGAAGGTTCAAATCTGTGAGTTGAATACAAACAACACAAAGAAGTTACTGAGAATTCTTCTGTCTAGCGTTATATGAAGAAATCCCGTTTCCAACGAAGGCCTCAAAGACGTCCAAATATCCACTTGCAGACTTTACAAATAGAGTGTTTCCAAACTGCTCTATGAAAAGAAAGGTTAAACTCCGTGAGTTGAAGGCACACATCACAAACTAGTTTCTGCGAATGACTCTGTGTACTTTTAATACGAAGATATTTCCATGTCTAAATTGGCGTCAAATCGCTTGAAATCTCCACTTGCAAATTCCACAAAAAGAGTGTTTCAAAACTGCTCTGAATAAAGGAAGGTTCAACTCTGTGAGTTGAATACACATAACACAAAGGATTTACTGAGAATTCTTCTGTCTAGCAGTAAGTGAAAAAATGAAGCTTCCAACGAAGTCCTCAAAGGGGTCCAAGTATTCACTTGCAGAGTTTACAGACAGAGTCTTTCCAAACTGCTCTATGAAAGGAAAGGTGAAACTCTGTGAGTTGAACGCACACATAACAAAGCAGTTTCTGAGAATGATTCTGTGTAGTTTTTACACGAAGCTATTTCCATTTCAAAGTATTAGCCTCAAATCGCTTGAAATCTCCACTTGCAAATTCCACAGAAAGAGTTTTTCAAAACTGCTCTGTGTAAAGGAAAGTTCAACTCTGTGACTTGAATACACACAACACAAAGAAGTGACTGAGAATTCTTCTGTCTAGCATTATATGAAGAAATCCCGTTTCCAACGAAGGCCTCAAAGAAGTCCAAATAAGCACCTGCAGACTTTACAAACAGAGTGTTTCCAAACTGCTCTATGAAAAGAAAGCTTAAACTCTGTGAGTTGAACGCGCACATCACAAAGTAGTTTTTGAGAATGATTCTGTGTAGTTTTCATACGACGATATTCCCTTTTCTGCCATAGGCCTAGAAGCGCTTGAAATCTGCACTTGCAAATTCCAAAAAAAGAGTGTTTGAAATCTGCTCTCTCTAAAGGAAGGTTCAAATCTGTGAGTTGAATACAAACAACACAAAGAAGTTAATGAGAATTCTTCTGTCTAGCATTATATGAGGAAATCCCGTTTCCAACGAAGGGCTCATAGTAGGGACAATTATCCAGCTGCAGACTTACAAAGAGTGTATTTCCAAACTGCTCGATTAAAGAAAGGTTAAACTCTGTGAGTTGAACACACACATCACAAAGTGTTTTCTGAGAATGATTCTGTGTACTTTTAATATGAAGATATTTCCATGTCTAAGATTGGCGTCAAATCGCTTGAAATCTCCACTTGCAAATTCCACAAAAAGAGTGTTTCAAAACTGCTCTGAATAAAGGAAGGTTCCACTCTGTGAGTTGAATACCCACAACACAAAGGATTTACTGAGAATTCTTCTGTCTAGCAGTAAATGAGAAGTCCCGCTTCCAACGAAGGCCTCAAAGGGGTCTAACTAATCACTTGCAGACTTTAAAGACAGAGTCTTTCCAAACTGCTCTATGAAGAGAAAGGTGAAACTCTGTGAACTGAACGCACAGATGACAAAGCAGTTTCTGAGAATGCTTCTGTGTAGTTTTTACACGAAGCTATTTCCATTCCAAAGATTAGCCTCAAATCGCTTGAAATCTCCACTTGCAAATTCCACAGAAAGAGTTTTTCAAAACTGCTCTGTGTAAAGGAAGGTTCAACTCTGTGACTTGAATACACACAACACAAAGAAGTGACTGAGAATTCTTCTGTCTAGCATTATATGAGGAAATCCCGTTTCCAACGAAGGGCTCATAGAGGGACAATTATCCAGCTGCAGACTTACAAAGAGTGTATTTCCAAACTGCTCGATTAAAGAAAGGTTAAACTCTGTGAGTTGAACACACACATCACAAAGTGTTTTCTGAGAATGATTCTGTGTAGTTTTTATACGAAGATATTTCCTTTTCTGCCATAGGCCTAGAAGCGCTTGCAATCTGCACTTGCAAATTCCAAAAACAGAGTGTTTCAAATCTGCTCTCTCTAAAGGAAAGTTCAAATCTGTGAGTTGAATACAAACAATACAAGGAACTTACTGAGAATTCTTCTGTCTAGCATTATATGAGGAAATCCCGTTTCCAACGAAGGGCTCATAGAGGGACAATTATCCAGCTGCAGACTTACAAAGAGTGTATTTCCAAACTGCTCGATTAAAGAAAGGTTAAACTCTGTGAGTTGAACACACACATCACAAAGTGTTTTCTGAGAATGATTTTGTCTAGTTTTAATACGAAGATATATCCTTTTCTGTCACTGTCTTCGAAGCGTTTGAAATCTGCACTAGCAAATTCCAGAAACAGAGTGTTTCAACTCTGCTCTCTCTCAAGAAAGGTTCAACTCTGTGAGTGGAATACACACAACACAAAGAAGTTACTGAGAATTCTTCTGTCTAGCGTTATATGAAGAAATCCCGTTTCCAACGAAGGCCTCAAAGAGGTCCAAATATCCACTTGCAGACTTTACAAATAGAGTGTTTCCAAACTGCTCTATGAAAAGAAAGGTTAAACTCTGTGAGTTGAAGGCACACATCACAAACTAGTTTCTGCGAATGACTCTGCGTACTTTTAATATGAAGATATTTCCATGTCTAAGATTGGCATCAAATCGCTTGAAATCTCCACTTGCAAATTCCACAAAAAGAGTGTTTCAAAACTGCTCTGAATAAAGGAAGGTTCCACTCTGTGAGTTGAATACACACAACACAAAGGATTTACTGAGAATTCTTCTGTCTAGCAGTAAATGAGAAATCCCGCTTCCAACGAAGGCCTCAAAGGGTTCTAACTAATCACTTGCAGACTTTACAGACAGAGTCTTTCCAAACTGCTCTATGAAGAGAAAGGTGAAACTCTGTGAACTGAACGCACAGATGACAAAGCAGTTTCTGAGAATGATTCTGTGTAGTTTTTACACGAAGATATTTCCATTTCAAAGATTAGCCTCAAATCGCTTGAAATCTCCACTTGCAAACTCCACAGAAAGAATTTTTCAAAACTGCTCTGTCTAAAGGAAGGTTCAACTCTGTGACTTGAATACACACAACACAAAGAAGTGACTGAGAATTCTTCTGTCTAGCATTATATGAAGAAATCCCGTTTCCAACGAAGGCCTCAATGAAGTCCAAAAAAGCACTTGCAGGCTTTACAAACAGAGTGTTTCCAAACTGCTCTATGAAAAGAAAGGTTAAACTCTGTGAGTTGAACGCACACATCACAAAGTAGTTGTTGAGAATGATTCTGTGTAGTTTTTATACGAAGATATTTCCTTTTCTGCCATAGGCCTAGAAGCGCTTGAAATCTGCACTTGCAAATTCCAAAAACAGAGTGTTTCAAATCTGCTCTCTCTAAAGGAAGGTTCAAATCTGTGTGTTGAATACAAACAACACAAAGAAGTTACTGAGAATTCTTCTGTCTAGCATTATATGAGGAAATCCCGTTTCCAACGAAGGGCTCAAAGTAGGGCCAAATATCCACCTGCAGACTTACAAAGAGTGTATTTCCAAACTGCTCGATTAAAGAAAGGTTAAACTCTGTGAGTTGAACACACACATCACAAAGAGTTTTCTGAGAATGATTTTGTCTACTTTTAATACGAAAATATATCCTTTTCTATCACTGTCTTCGAAGCGTTTGAAATCTACACTAGCAAATTCCACAAAAAGAGTGTTTCACCTCTGCTCCCTCTAAAGAAAGGTTCAACTCTGTGAGTTGAATACACACAACACAAAGAAGTTACTGAGAATTCTTCTGTCTAGCGTTATATGAAGAAATCCCGTTTCCAACGAAGGCCTCAAAGAGGTCCAAATATCCACTTGCAGACTTTACAAATAGAGTGTTTCCCAACTGCTCTATGAAAAGAAAGGTTAAACTCTGTGAGTTGAAGGCACACATCACAAACTAGTTTCTACGAATGACTCTGTGTACTTTTAATATGAAGATATTTCCATGTCTAAGATTGGCGTCAAATCGCTTGAAATCTCCACTTGCAAATTCCACAAAAAGAGTGTTTCAAAACTGCTCTGAATAAAGGAAGGTTCCACTCTGTGAGTTGAATACACACAACACAAAGGATTTACTGAGAATTCTTCTGTCTAGCAGTAAATGAGAAATCCCGCTTCCAACGAAGGCCTCAAAGGGGTCTAACTAATCACTTGCAGACTTTACAGACAGAGTCTTTCCAAACTGCTCTATGAAGAGAAAGGTGAAACTCTGTGAACTGAACGCACAGATGACAAAGCAGTTTCTGAGAATGATTCTGTGTAGTTTTTACACGAAGATATTTCCATTTCAAAGATTAGCCTCAAATCGCTTGAAATCTCCACTTGCAAATTGCACAGAAAGAATTTTTCAAAACTGCTCTGTCTAAAGGAAGGTTCAACTCTGTGACTTGAATACACACAACACAAAGAAGTGACTGAGAATTCTTCTGTCTAGCATTACATGAAGAAATCCCGTTTCCAACGAAGGCCTCAATGAAGTCCAAAAAAGCACTTGCAGGCTTTACAAACAGAGTGTTTCCAAACTGCTCTATGAAAAGAAAGGTTAAACTCTGTGAGTTGAACGCACACATCACAAAGTAGTTGTTGAGAATGATTTTGTCTAGTTTTAATACGAAGATATATCCTTTTCTATCACTGTCTTCGAAGCGTTTGAAATCTGCACTAGCAAATTCCACAGAAAGAGTGTTTCAACTCTGCTCTCTCTCAAGAAAGGTTCAACTCTGTGAGTGGAATACACACAACACAAAGAAGTTACAGAGAATTCTTCTGTCTAGCGTTATATGAAGAAATCCCGTTTCCAACGAAGGCCTCAAAGAGGTCCAAATATCCACTTGCAGACTTTACAAATAGAGTGTTTCCAAACTGCTCTATGAAAAGAAAGCTTAAACTCTGTGAGTTGAAGGCACACATCACAAACTAGTTTCTGCGAACGACTCTGTGTACTTTTAATACGAAGATGTTTCCATGTCTAAGATTGGCGTGAATTCGCTTGAAATCTCCACTTGCAAATTCCACAAAAAGAGTTTTTCAAAACTGCTCTGTGTAAAGGAAGGTTCAACTCTGTGACTTGAATACACACAACACAAAGAAGTGACTGAGAATTCTTCTGTCTAGCATTATATGAAGAAATCCCGTTTCCAACGAAGGCCTCAAAGAAGTCCAAATAAGCACCTGCAGACTTTACAAACAGAGTGTTTCCAAACTGCTCTATGAAAAGAAAGGTTAAACTCTGTGAGTTGAACGCACACATCACAAAGTAGTTGTTGAGAATGATTCTGTGTAGTTTTTATACGAAGATATTTCCTTTTCTGCCATAGGCCTAGAAGCGCTTGCAATCTGCACTTGCAAATTCCAAAAACAGAGTGTTTCAAATCTGCTCCCTCTAAAGGAAGTTTCAAATCTGTGAGTTGAATACAAACAACACAAAGAAGTTACTGAGAATACTTCTGTCTAGCATTATATGAGGAAATCCCGTTTCCAACGAAGGGCTCATAGAGGGACAATTATCCACCTGCAGACTTACAAAGAGTGCATTTCCAAACTGCTCGATTAAAGAAAGGTTAAACTCTGTGAGTTGAACACACACATCACAAAGTGTTTTCTGAGAATGATTTTGTCTAGTTTTAATACGAAGATATATTCTTTTCTATCACTGTCTTCGAAGCGTTTGAAATCTGCACTAGCAAATTCCACAGAAAGAGTGTTTCAACTCTGCTCTCTCTCAAGAAAGGTTCAACTCTGTGAGTGGAATACACACAACACAAAGAAGTTACAGAGAATTCTTCTGTCTAGCGTTATATGAAGAAATCCCGTTTCCAACGAAGGCCTCAAAGAGGTCCAAATATCCACTTGCAGACTTTACAAATAGAGTGTTTCCAAACTGCTCTATGAAAAGAAAGCTTAAACTCTGTGAGTTGAAGGCACACATCACAAACTAGTTTCTGCGAATGACTCTGTGTACTTTTAATACGAAGATGTTTCCATGTCTAAGATTGGCGTGAATTCGCTTGAAATCTCCACTTGCAAATTCCACAAAAAGAGTGTTTCAAAACTGCTCTGAATAAAGGAAGGTTCCACTCTGTGAGTTGAATACACACAACACGAAGGATTTACTGAGAATTCTTCTGTCTAGCAGTAAATGAAAAAATCCCGCTTCCAACGAAGTCCTCAAAGGGGTCCAAGTAATCACTTGCAGACTTTACAGACAGAGTCTTTCCAAACTGCTCTATGAAAAGAAAGGTGGAACTCTGCGAGCTGAACGCACACATAACAAAGCAGTTTCTGAGAATGATTCTGTGTAGTTTTTACACGAAGATATTTCCATTTCAAAGATTAGCCTCAAATCGCTTGAAATCTCCACTTGCAAATTCCACAGAAAGAGTTTTTCAAAACTGCTCTGTGTAAAGGAAGGTTCAACTCTGTGACTTGAATACACACAACACAAAGAAGTGACTGAGAATTCTTCTGTCTAGCATTATATGAGGAAATCCCGTTTCCAACGAAGGGCTCATAGAGGGACAATTATCCACCTGCAGAATTACAAAGAGTGTATTTCCAAACTGCTCGATTAAAGAAAGGTTAAACTCTGTGAGTTGAACACACACATCACAAAGTGTTTTCTGAGAATGATTTTGTCTACTTTTAATACGAAGGTATATCCTTTTCTATCACTGTCTTCGAAGCGTTTGAAATCTGCACTAGCAAATTCCACAAAAAGAGTGTTTCACCTCTGCTCCCTCTAAAGAAAGGTTCAACTCTGTGAGTTGAATACACACAACACAAAGAAGTTACTGAGAATTCTTCTGTCTAGCGTTATATGAAGAAATCCCGTTTCCAACGAAGGCCTCAAAGAGGTCCAAATATCCACTTGCAGACTTTACAAATAGAGTGTTTCCCAACTGCTCTATGAAAAGAAAGGTTAAACTCTGTGAGTTGAAGGCACACATCACAAACTAGTTTCTACGAATGACTCTGTGTACTTTTAATATGAAGATATTTCCATGTCTAAGATTGGCGTCAAATCGCTTGAAATCTCCACTTGCAAATTCCACAAAAAGAGTGTTTCAAAACTGCTCTGAATAAAGGAAGGTTCCACTCTGTGAGTTGAATACACACAACACAAAGGATTTACTGAGAATTCTTCTGTCTAGCAGTAAATGAAAAAATCCCGCTTCCAACGAAGTCCTCAAAGGGGTCCAAGTAATCACTTGCAGACTTTACAGACAGAGTCTTTCCAAACTGCTCTATGAAAAGAAAGGTGGAACTCTGTGAGCTGAACGCACACATAACAAAACAGTTTCTGAGAATGATTCTGTGTAGTTTTTACACGAAGCTATTTCCATTTCAAAGATTAGCCTCAAATCGCTTGAAATCTCCACTTGCAAATTCCACAGAAAGAGTTTTTCAAAACTGCTCTGTGTAAAGGAAGGTTCAACTCTGTGACTTGAATACACACAACACAAAGAAGTGACTGAGAATTCTTCTGTCTAGCATTATATGAAGAAATCCCGTTTCCAACGAAGGCCTCAAAGAAGTCCAAATAAGCACCTGCAGACTTTACAAACAGAGTGTTTCCAAACTGCTCTATGAAAAGAAAGGTTAAACTCTGTGAGTTGAACGCACACATCACAAACTAGTTTCTGCGAATGACTCTGTGTACTTTTAATACGAAGATGTTTCCATGTCTAAGATGGGCGTGAATTCGCTTGAAATCTCCACTTGCAAATTCCACAAAAAGAGTGTTTCAAAACTGCTCTGAATAAAGGAAGGTTCCACTCTGTGAGTTGAATACACACAACACAAAGGATTTACTGAGAATTCTTCTGTCTAGCAGTAAATGAAAAAATCCCGCTTCCAACGAAGTCCTCAAAGGGGTCCAAGTAATCACTTGCAGACTTTACAGACAGAGTCTTTCCAAACTGCTCTATGAAAAGAAAGGTGGAACTCTGTGAGCTGAACGCACACATAACAAAGCAGTTTCTGAGAATGATTCTGTGTAGTTTTTACACGAAGCTATTTCCATTTCAAAGATTAGCCTCAAATCGCTTGAAATCTCCACTTGCAAATTCCACAGAAAGAGTTTTTCAAAACTGCTCTGTGTAAAGGATGGTTCAACTCTGTGACTTGAATACACACAACACAAAGAAGTGACTGAGAATTCTTCTGTCTAGCATTATAAGAGGAAATCCTGTTTCCAACGAAGGGCTCATAGAGGGACAATTATCCAGCTGCAGACTTACAAAGAGTGTATTTCCAAACTGCTCGATTAAAGAAAGGTTAAACTCTGTGAGTTGAACACACACATCACAAAGTGTTTTCTGAGAATGATTCTGTGTAGTTTTTATACGAAGATATTTAATTTTCTGCCATAGGCCTAGAAGCGCTTGCAATCTGCACTTGCAAATTCCAAAAACAGAGTGTTTCAAATCTGCTCTCTCCAAAGGAAGGTTCAAATCTTGTGAGTTGAATACAAACAACACAAAGAAGTTACTGAGAATTCTTCTGTCTAGCATTATAAGAGGAAATCCCGTTTCCAACGAAGGGCTCATAGAGGGACAATTATCCAGCTGCAGACTTACAAAGAGTGTATTTCCAAACTGCTCGATTAAAGAAAGGTTAAACTCTGTGAGTTGAACACACACATCACAAAGTGTTTTCTGAGAATGATTTTGTCTAGTTTTAATACGAAGATATATCCTTTTCTATCACTGTCTTCGAAGCGTTTGAAATCTGCACTAGCAAATTCCACAAACAGAGTGTTTCAACTCTGCTCTCTCTCAAGAAAGGTTCAAATCTGTGAGTGGAATACACACAACACAAAGAAGTTACTGAGAATTCTTCTGTCTAGCGTTATATGAAGAAATCCCGTTTCCAACGAAGGCCTCAAAGAGGTCCAAATATCCACTTGCAGACTTTACAAATAGAGTGTTTCCAAACTGCTCTATGAAAAGAAAGGTTAAACTCCGTGAGTTGAAGGCACACATCACAAACTAGTTTCTGCGAATGACTCTGTGTACTTTTAATACGAAGATATTTCCATGTCTAAGATTGGCGTGAATTCGCTTGAAATCTCCACTTGCAAATTCCACAAAGAGTGTTTCAAAACTGCTCTGAATAAAGGAAGGTTCCACTCTGTGAGTTGAATACACACAACACAAAGGATTTACTGAGAATTCTTCTGTCTAGCAGTAAATGAAAAAATCCCGCTTCCAACGAAGTCCTCAAAGGGGTCCAAGTAATCACTTGCAGACTTTACAGACAGAGTCTTTCCAAACTGCTCTATGAAAAGAAAGGTGGAACTCTGTGAGCTGAACGCACACATAACAAAGCAGTTTCTGAGAATGATTCTGTGTAGTTTTTACACGAAGATATTTCCATTTCAAAGATTAGCCTCAAATCGCTTGAAATCTCCACTTGCAAATTCCACAGAAAGAGGTTTTCAAAACTGCTCTGTGTAAAGGAAGGTTCAGCTCTGTGACTTGAATACACACAACACAAAGAAGTGACTGAGAATTCTTCTGTCTAGCATTATATGAAGAAATCCCGTTTCCAACGAAGGCCTCAAAGAAGTCCAAATAAGCACCTGCAGACTTTACAAACAGAGTGTTTCCAAACTGCTCTATGAAAAGAAAGGTTAAACTCTGTGAGTTGAACACACACATCACAAAGTAGTTGTTGAGAATGATTCTGTGTAGTTTTTATACGAAGATATTCCCTTTTCTGCCATAGGCCTAGAAGAGCTTGAAATCTGCACTTGCAAATTCCAAAAAAAGAGTGTTTGAAACATGCTCTCTCTAAACGAAGGTTCAAATCTGTGAGTTGAATACAAACAACACAAAGAAGTTACTGAGAATTCTTCTGTCTAGCATTATAAGAGGAAATCCCGTTTCCAACGAAGGGCTCATAGAGGGACAATTATCCAGCTGCAGACTTACAAAGAGTGTATTTCCAAACTGCTCGATTAAAGAAAGGTTAAACTCTGTGAGTTAAACACACACATCACAAAGTGTTTTCTGAGAATGATTTTGTCTAGTTTTAATACGAAGATATATCCTTTTCTATCACTGTCTTCGAAGCGTTTGAAATCTGCACTAGCAAATTCCACAAACAGAGTGTTTCAACTCTGCTCTCTCTCAAGAAAGGTTCAACTCTGTGAGTGGAATACACACAACACAAAGAAGTTACTGAGAATTCTTCTGTCTAGTGTTGTATGAAGAAATCCCATTTCCAACGAAGGCCTCAAAGAGGTCCAAATATCCACTTGCAGACTTTACAAATAGAGTGTTTCCCAACTGCTCTATGAAAAGAAAGGTTAAACTCTGTGAGTTGAAGGCACACATCACAAACTAGTTTCTACGAATGACTCTGTGTACTTTTAATATGAAGATATTTCCATGTCTAAGATTGGCGTCAAATCGCTTGAAATCTCCACTTGCAAATTCCACAAAAAGTGTTTTTCAAAACTGCTCTGAATAAAGGAAGGTTCCACTCTGTGAGTTGAATACACACAACACAAAGGATTTACTGAGAATTCTTCTGTCTAGCAGTAAATGAGAAATCCCTGCTTCCAACGAAGGCCTCAAAGGGGTCTAACTAATCACTTGCAGACTTTACAGACAGAGTCTTTCCAAACTGCTCTATGAAGAGAAAGGTGAAACTCTGTGAACTGAACGCACAGATGACAAAGCAGTTTCTGAGAATGATTCTGTGTAGTTTTTACACGAAGATATTTCCATTTCAAAGATTAGCCTCAAATCGCTTGAAATCTCCACTTGCAAACTCCACAGAAAGAATTTTTCAAAACTGCTCTGTCTAAAGGAAGGTTCAACTCTGTGACTTGAATACACACAACACAAAGAAGTGACTGAGAATTCTTCTGTCTAGCATTATAAGAGGAAATCCTGTTTCCAACGAAGGGCTCATAGAGGGACAATTATCCAGCTGCAGACTTACAAAGAGTGTATTTCCAAACTGCTCGATTAAAGAAAGGTTAAACTCTGTGAGTTGAACACACACATCACAAAGTGTTTTCTGAGAATGATTTTGTCTAGTTTTAATACGAAGATATATCCTTTTCTATCACTGTCTTCGAAGCGTTTGAAATCTGCACTAGCAAATTCCACAAACAGAGTGTTTCAACTCTGCTCTCTCTCAAGAAAGGTTCAACTCTGTGAGTGGAATACACACAACACAAAGAAGTTACTGAGAATTCTTCTGTCTAGCGTTATATGAAGAAATCCCGTTTCCAACGAAGGCCTCAAAGAGGTCCAAATATCCACTTGCAGACTTTACAAATAGAGTGTTTCCAAACTGCTCTATGAAAAGAAAGGTTAAACTCCGTGAGTTGAAGGCACACATCACAAACTAGTTTCTGCGAATGACTCTGTGTACTTTTAATACGAAGATGTTTCCATGTCTAAGATTGGCGTGAATTCGCTTGAAATCTCCACCTGCAAATTCCACAAAAAGAATGTTTCAAAACAGCTGTGAATAGAGGAAGGTTCCACTCTGTGAGTTGAATACACACAACACAAAGGATTTACTGAGAATTCTTCTGTCTAGCAGTAAATGAAAAAATCCCGCTTCCAACGAAGTCCTCAAAGGGGTCCAAGTAATCACTTGCAGACTTTACAGACAGAGTCTTTCCAAACTGCTCTATGAAAAGAAAGGTGGAACTGTGTGAGCTGAACGCACACATAACAAAGCAGTTTCTGAGAATGATTCTGTGTAGTTTTTACACGAAGCTATTTCCATTTCAAAGATTAGCCTCAAATCGCTTGAAATCTCCACTTGCAAATTCCACAGAAAGAGTTTTTCAAAACTGCTCTGTGTAAAGGAAGGTTCAACTCTGTGACTTGAATACACACAACACAAAGAAGTGACTGAGAATTCTTCTGTCTAGCATTATATGAAGAAATCCCGTTTCCAACGAAGGCCTCAAAGAAGTCCAAATAAGCACCTGCAGACTTTACAAACAGAGTGTTTCCAAACTGCTCTATGAAAAGAAAGGTTAAACTCTGTGAGTTGAACGCACACATCACAAAGTAGTTGTTGAGAATGATTCTGTGTAGTTTTTATACGAAGATATTTCCTTTTCTGCCATAGGCCTAGAAGCGCTTGTAATCTGCACTTGCAAATTCCAAAAACAGAGTGTTTCAAATCTGCTCTCTCTAAAGGAAGGTTCAAATCTGTGAGTTGAATACAAACAACACAAAGAAGTTACTGAGAATTCTTCTGTCTAGCATTATAAGAGGAAATCCTGTTTCCAACGAAGGGCTCATAGAGGGACAATTATCCACCTGCAGACTTACAAAGAGTGTATTTCCAAACTGCTCGATTAAAGAAAGGTTAAACTCTGTGAGTTGAACACACACATCACAAAGTGTTTTCTGAGAATGATTTTGTCTAGTTTTAATACGAAGATATATCCTTTTCTATCACTGTCTTCGAAGCGTTTGAAATCTGCACTAGCAAATTCCACAAACAGAGTGTTTCAACTCTGCTCTCTCTCAAGAAAGGTTCAACTCTGTGAGTTGAATACACACAACACAAAGAAGTTACTGAGAATTCTTCTGTCTAGCGTTATATGAAGAAATCCCGTTTCCAACGAAGGCCTCAAAGAGGTCCAAATATCCACTTGCAGACTTTACAAATAGAGTGTTTCCAAACTGCTCTATGAAAAGAAAGGTTAAACTCCGTGAGTTGAAGGCACACATCACAAACTAGTTTCTGCGAATGACTCTGTGTACTTTTAATACGAAGATGTTTCCATGTCTAAGATTGGCGTGAATTCGCTTGAAATCTCCACTTGCAAATTCCACAAAAAGAGTGTTTCAAAAGTGCTCTGAATAAAGGAAGGTTCCACTCTGTGAGTTGAATACACACAACACAAAGGATTTACTGAGAATTCTTCTATCTAGCAGTAAATGAAAAAATCCCGCTTCCAAAGAAGTCCTCAAAGGGGTCCAAGTAATCACTTGCAGACTTTACAGACAGAGTCTTTCCAAACTGCTCTATGAAAAGAAAGGTGGAACTCTGTGAGCTGAACGCACACATAACAAAGCAGTTTCTGAGAATGATTCTGTGTAGTTTTTACACGAAGATATTTCCATTTCAAAGATTAGCCTCAAATCGCTTGAAATCTCCACTTGCAAATTCCACAGAAAGAGTTTTTCAAAACTGCTCTGTGTAAAGGAAGGTTCAACTCTGTGACTTGAATACACACAACACAAAGAAGTGACTGAGAATTCTTCTGTCTAGCATTATATGAAGAAATCCCGTTTCCAACGAAGGCCTCAAAGAAGTCCAAATAAGCACCTGCAGACTTTACAAACAGAGTGTTTCCAAACTGCTCTATGAAAAGAAAGGTTAAACTCTGTGAGTTGAACGCACACATCACAAAGTAGTTGTTGAGAATGATTCTGTGTAGTTTTTATACGAAGATATTTCCTTTTCTGCCATAGGCCTAGAAGCGCTTGCAATCTGCACTTGCAAATTCCAAAAACAGAGTGTTTCAAATCTGCTCTCTCCAAAGGAAGGTACAAATCTGTGAGTTGAATACAAACAACACAAAGAAGTTACTGAGAATTCTTCTGTCTAGCATTATATGAGGAAATCCCGTTTCCAACGAAGGGCTCATAGAGGGACAATTATCCACCTGCAGAATTACAAAGAGTGTATTTCCAAACTGCTCGATTAAAGAAAGGTTAAACTCTGTGAGTTGAACACACACATCACAAAGTGTTTTCTGAGAATGATTTTGTCTAGTTTTAATACGAAGATATATCCTTTTCTATCATTGTCTTCGAAGCGTTTGAAATCGGCACTAGCAAATTCCACAAACAGAGTGTTTCAACTCTGCTCTCTCTCAAGAAAGGTTCAACTCTGTGAGTGGAATACACACAACACAAAGAAGTTACTGAGAATTCTTCTGTCTAGCGTTATATGAAGAAATCCCGTTTCCAACGAAGGCCTCAAAGAGGTCCAAATATCCACTTGCAGACTTTACAAATAGAGTGTTTCCAAACTGCTCTATGAAAAGAAAGGTTAAACTCTGTGAGTTGAAGGCACACATCACAAACTAGTTTCTGCGAATGACTCTGTGTACTTTTAATACGAAGATGTTTCCATGTCTAAGATTGGCGTGAATTCGCTTGAAATCTCCACTTGCAAATTCCACAAAAAGAGTGTTTCAAAAGTGCTCTGAATAAAGGAAGGTTCCACTCTGTGAGTTGAATACACACAACACAAAGGATTTACTGAGAATTCTTCTGTCTAGCAGTAAATGAAAAAATCCCGCTTCCAACGAAGTCCTCAAAGGGGTCCAAGTAATCACTTGCAGACTTCACAGACAGAGTCTTTCCAAACTGCCCTATGAAAAGAAAGGTGGAACCGTGTGAGCTGAACGCACACATAACAAAGCAGTTTCTGAGAATGATTCTGTGTAGTTTTTACACGAAGATATTTCCATTTCAAAGATTAGCCTCAAATCGCTTGAAATCTCCACTTGCAAATTCCACAGAAAGAGTTTTTCAAAACTGCTCTGTGTAAAGGAAGGTTCAACTCTGTGACTTGAATACACACAACACAAAGAAGTGACTGAGAATTCTTCTGTCTAGCATTATATGAGGAAATCCCGTTTCCAACGAAGGGCTCATAGAGGGACAATTATCCAGCTGCAGACTTACAAAGAGTGTATTTCCAAACTGCTCGATTAAAGAAAGGTTAAACTCTGTGAGTTGAACACACACATCACAAAGTGTTTTCTGAGAATGATTCTGTGTAGTTTTTATACGAAGATATTTCCTTTTCTGCCATAGGCCTAGAAGCGCTTGCAATCTGCACTTGCAAATTCCAAAAACAGAGTGTTTCAAATCTGCTCTCTCTAAAGGAAGGTTCAAATCTGTGAGTTGAATACAAACAATACAAGGAACTTACTGAGAATTCTTCTGTCTAGCGTTGTATGAGGAAATCCCGTTTCCAATGAAGGCCTCAAAGAGGTCCAAATATCCACTTGCAGACTTTACAAATAGAGTGTTTCCAAACTGCTCTATGAAAAGAAAGGTTAAACTCTGTGAGTTGAAGGCACACATCACAAACTAGTTTCTACGAATGACTCTGTGTACTTTTAATATGAAGATATTTCCATGTCTAAGATTGGCGTAAAATCGCTTGAAATCTCCACTTGCAAATTCCACAAAAAGTGTTTTTCAAAACTGCTCTGAATAAAGGAAGGTTCCACTCTGTGAGTTGAATACACATAACACAAAGGATTTACTGAGAATTCTTCTGTCTAGCAGTAAATGAGAAATCCCGCTTCCAACGAAGGCCTCAAAGGGGTCTAACTAATCACTTGCAGACTTTACAGACAGAGTCTTTCCAAACTGCTCTATGAAGAGAAAGGTGAAACTCTGTGAACTGAACGCACAGATGACAAAGCAGTTTCTGAGAATGATTCTGTGTAGTTTTTACACGAAGATATTTCCATTTCAAAGATTAGCCTCAAATCGCTTGAAATCTCCACTTGCAAACTCCACAGAAAGAATTTTTCAAAACTGCTCTGTCTAAAGGAAGGTTCAACTCTGTGACTTGAATACACACAACACAAAGAAGTGACTGAGAATTCTTCTGTCTAGCATTATATGAAGAAATCCCGTTTCCAACGAAGGCCTCAAAGAAGTCCAAAAAAGCACTTGCAGGCTTTACAAACAGAGTGTTTCCAAACTGCTCTATGAAAAGAAAGGTTAAACTCTGTGAGTTGAACGCACACATCACAAAGTAGTTGTTGAGAATGATTTTGTCTACTTTTAATACGAAGATATCTCCTTTTCTATCACTGACTTCGATGCGTTTGAAATCTACACTGGCAAATTCCACAAAAAGACTGTTTCACCTCTGCTCCCTCTAAAGAAAGGTTCAACTCTGTGAGTTGAATACACACAACACAAAGAAGTTACTGAGAATTCTTCTGTCTAGCGTTATATGAAGAAATCCCGTTTCCAACGAAGGCCTCAAAGAGGTCCAAATATCCACTTGCAGACTTTACAAATAGAGTGTTTCCCAACTGCTCTATGAAAAGAAAGGTTAAACTCTGTGAGTTGAAGGCACACATCACAAACTAGTTTCTACGAATGACTCTGTGTACTTTTAATATGAAGATATTTCCATGTCTAAGATTGGCGTCAAATCGCTTGAAATCTCCACTTGCAAATTCCACAAAAAGAGTGTTTCAAAACTGCTCTGAATAAAGGAAGGTTCCACTCTGTGAGTTGAATACACACAACACAAAGGATTTACTGAGAATTCTTCTGTCTAGCAGTAAATGAGAAATCCCGCTTCCAACGAAGGCCTCAAAGGGGTCTAACTAATCACTTGCAGACTTTACAGACAGAGTCTTTCCAAACTGCTCTATGAAGAGAAAGGTGAAACTCTGTGAACTGAACGCAAAGATGACAAAGCAGTTTCTGAGAATGATTCTGTGTAGTTTTTACACGAAGATATTTCCATTTCAAAGATTAGCCTCAAATCGCTTGAAATCTCCACTTGCAAATTACACAGAAAGAATTTTTCAAAACTGCTCTGTCTAAAGGAAGGTTCAACTCTGTGACTTGAATACACACAACACAAAGAAGTGACTGAGAATTCTTCTGTCTAGCATTATATGAAGAAATCCCGTTTCCAAAGAAGGCCTCAAAGAAGTCCAAATAAGCACCTGCAGACTTTACAAACAGAGTGTTTCGAAACTGCTCTATGAAAAGAAAGGTTAAACTCCGTGAGTTGAACGCACACATCACAAACTAGTTTCTGCGAATGACTCTGTGTACTTTTAATACGAAGATGTTTCCATGTCTAAGATTGGCGTGAATTCGCTTGAAATCTCCACTTGCAATTTCCACAAAAAGAGTGTTTCAAACGTGCTCTGAATAAAGGAAGGTTCCACTCTGTGAGTTGAATACACACAACACAAAGGATTTACTGAGAATTCTTCTGTCTAGCAGTAAATGAAAAAATCCCGCTTCCAACGAAGTCCTCAAAGGGGTCCAAGTAATCACTTGCAGACTTTACAGACAGAGTCTTTCCAAACTGCTCTATGAAAAGAAAGGTGGAACGCTGTGAGCTGAACGCACACATAACAAAGCAGTTTCTGAGAATGATTCTGTGTAGTTTTTACACGAAGATATTTCCATTTCAAAGATTAGCCTCAAATCGCTTGAAATCTCCACTTGCAAATTCCACAGAAAGAGTTTTTCAAAACTGCTCTGTGTAAAGGAAGGTTCAACTCTGTGACTTGAATACACACAACACAAAGAAGTGACTGAGAATTCTTCTGTCTAGCATTATATGAAGAAATCCCGTTTCCAACGAAGGCCTCAAAGAAGTCCAAATAAGCACCTGCAGACTTTACAAACAGAGTGTTTCCAAACTGCTCTATGAAAAGAAAGGTTAAACTCTGTGAGTTGAACGCACACATCACAAAGTAGTTGTTGAGAATGATTCTGTGTAGTTTTTACATGAAGATATTTCCTTTTCTGCCATAGGCCTAGAAGCGCTTGTAATCTGCACTTACAATTTCCAAAAGCAGAGTGTTTCAAATCTGCTCTCTCTAAAGGAAAGTTCAAATCTGTGAGTTGAATACAAACAACACAAAGAAGTTACTGAGAATTTTTCTGTCTAGCATTATAAGAGGAAATCCCGTTTCCAACGAAGGGCTCATAGAGGGACAATTATCCAGCTGCAGACTTACAAAGAGTGTATTTCCAAACTGCTCGATTAAAGAAAGGTTAAACTCTGTGAGTTGAACACACACATCACAAAGTGTTTTCTGAGAATGATTTTGTCTAGTTTTAATACGAAGATATATCCTTTTCTATCACTGTCTTCGAAGCGTTTGAAATCTGCACTAGCAAATTCCACAAACAGAGTGTTTCAACTCTGCTCTCTCTCAAGAAAGGTTCAACTCTGTGAGTGGAATACACACAACACAAAGAAGTTACTGAGAATTCTTCTGTCTAGCGTTATATGAAGAAATCCCATTTCCAACGAAGGCCTCAAAGAGGTCCAAATATCCACTTGCAGACTTTACAAATAGAGTGTTTCCAAACTGCTCTATGAAAAGAAAGGTTAAACTCCGTGAGTTGAAGGCACACATCACAAACTAGTTTCTGCGAATGACTCTGTGTACTTTTAATACGAAGATGTTTCCATGTCTAAGATTGGCGTGAATTCGCTTGAAATCTCCACTTGCAAATTCCACAAAAAGAGTGTTTCAAAAGTGCTCTGAATAAAGGAAGGTTCCACTCTGTGAGTTGAATACACACAACACAAAGGATTTACTGAGAATTCTTCTGTCTAGCAGTAAATGAAAAAATCCCGCTTCCAACGAAGTCCTCAAAGGGGTCCAAGTAATCACTTGCAGACTTTACAGACAGAGTCTTTCCAAACTGCTCTATGAAAAGAAAGGTGGAACTCTGTGAGCTGAACGCACACATAACAAAGCAGTTTCTGACAATGATTCTGTGTAGTTTTTACACGAAGATATTTCCATTTCAAAGATTAGCCTCAAATCGCTTAAAATCTCCAATTGCAAATTCCACAGAAAGAATTTTTCAAAACTGCTCTGTCTAAAAGAAGGTTCACCTCTGTGACTTGAATACACACAACACAAAGAACTGACTGAGAATTCTTCTGTCTAGCATTATATGAAGAAATCCCGTTTCCAACGAAGGCCTCAATGAAGTCCAAAAAAGCACTTGCAGGCTTTACAAACAGAGTGTTTCCAAACTGCTCTATGAAAAGAAAGGTTAAACTCTGTGAGTTGAACGCACACATTCACAAAGTAGTTGTTGAGAATGATTCTGTGTAGTTTTTATACGAAGATATTTCCTTTTCTGCCATAGGCCTAGAAGCGCTTGAAATCTGCACTTGCAAATTCCAAAAACAGAGTGTTTCAAATCTGCTCTCTCTAAAGGAAGGTTCAAATCTGTGTGTTGAATACAAACAACACAAAGAAGTTACTGAGAATTCTTCTGTCTAGCATTATATGAGGAAATCCCGTTTCCAACGAAGGGCTCAAAGAGGGCCAAATATCCACCTGCAGACTTACAAAGAGTGTATTTCCAAACTGCTCGATTAAAGAAAGGTTAAACTCTGTGAGTTGAACACACACATCACAAAGAGTTTTCTGAGAATGATTTTGTCTACTTTTAATACGAAGATATATCCTTTTCTATCACTGTCTTCGAAGCGTTTGAAATCTACACTAGCAAATTCCACAAAAAGAGTGTTTCACCTCTGCTCCCTCTAAAGAAAGGTTCAACTCTGTGAGTTGAATACACACAACACAAAGAAGTTACTGAGAATTCTTCTGTCTAGCGTTATATGAAGAAATCCCGTTTCCAACGAAGGCCTCAAAGAGGTCCAAATATCCACTTGCAGACTTTACAAATAGAGTGTTTCCAAACTGCTCTATGAAAAGAAAGGTTAAACTCTGTGAGTTGAAGGCACACATCACAAACTAGTTTCTACGAATGACTCTGTGTACTTTTAATATGAAGATATTTCCATGTCTAAGATTGGCGTCAAATCGCTTGAAATCTCCACTTGCAAATTCCACAAAAAGTGTTTTTCAAAACTGCTCTGAATAAAGGAAGGTTCCACTCTGTGAGTTGAATACACACAACACAAAGGATTTACTGAGAATTCTTCTGTCTAGCAGTAAATGAGAAATCCCGCTTCCAACGAAGGCCTCAAAGGGGTCTAACTAATCACTTGCAGACTTTACAGACAGAGTCTTTCCAAACTGCTCTATGAAGAGAAAAGTGAAACTCTGTGAACTGAACGCACTCATAACAAAGCAGTTTCTGAGAATGATTCTGTGCAGTTTTTACACGAAGATATTTCCATTTCAAAGATTAGCCTGAAATCGCTTGAAATCTCCACTTGCAAATTCCACAGAAAGAGTTTTTCAAAACTGCTCTGTGTAAAGGAAGGTTCAACTCTGTGACTTGAATACACACCACACAAAGAAGTGACTGAGAATTCTTCTGTCTAGCATTATATGAAGAAATCCCGTTTCCAACGAAGGCCTCAAAGAAGTCCAAATAAGCACCTGCAGACTTTACAAACAGAGTGTTTCCAAACTGCTCTATGAAAAGAAAGGTTAAACTCTGTGAGTTGAAAGCACACATCACAAAGTAGTTGTTGAGAATGATTCTGTGTAGTTTTTACACGAAGATATTTCCTTTTCTGCCATAGGCCTAGAAGCGCTTGTAATCTGCACTTACAATTTCCAAAAACAGAGTGTTTCAAATCTCCTCTCTCTAAAGGAAAGTTCAAATCTGTGAGTTGAATACAAACAACACAAAGAAGTTACTGAGAATTCTTCTGTCTAGCATTATATGAGGAAATCCCGTTTCCAACGAAGGGCTCATAGAGGGACAATTATCCACCTGCAGACTTACAAAGAGTGTATTTCCAAACTGCTCGATTACAGAAAGGTTAAACTCTGTGAGTTGAACACACACATCACAAAGTGTTTTCTGAGAATGATTTTGTCTAGTTTTAATACGAAGATATATCCTTTTCTATCACTGTCTTCGAAGCGTTTGAAATCTGCACTAGCAAATTCCACAAAAAGAGTGTTTCCACTCTGCTCTCTCTCAAGAAAGGTTCAACTCTGTGAGTTGAATACACACAACACAAAGAAGTTACTGAGAATTCTTCTGTCTAGTGTTGTATGAAGAAATCCCATTTCCAACGAAGGCCTCAAAGAGGTCCAAATATCCACTTGCAGACATTACAAATAGAGTGTTTCCCAACTGCTCTATGAAAAGAAAGGTTAAACTCTGTGAGTTGAAGGCACACATCACAAACTAGTTTCTACGAATGACTCTGTGTACTTTTAATATGAAGATATTTCCATGTCTAAGATTGGCGTCAAATCGCTTGAAATCTCCACTTGCAAATTCCACAAAAAGTGTTTTTCAAAACTGCTCTGAATAAAGGAAGGTTCCACTCTGTGCGTTGAATACACACAACACAAAGGATTTACTGAGAATTCTTCTGTCTAGCAGTAAATGAGAAATCCCGCTTCCAACGAAGGCCTCAAAGGGGTATAACTAATCAGTTGCAGACTTTACAGACAGAGTCTTTCCAAACTGCTCTATGAAGAGAAAGGTGAAACTCTGTGAACTGAACGCACACATAACAAAGCAGTTTCTGAGAATGATTCTGTGTAGTTTTTACACGAAGATATTTCCATTTCAAAGATTAGCCTCAAATCTCTTAAAATCTCCAATTGCAAATTCCACAGAAAGAATTTTTCAAAACTGCTCTGTCTAAAAGAAGGTTCAACTCTGTGACTTGAATACACACAACACAAAGAAGTGACTGAGAATTCTTCTGTCTAGCATTATATGAAGAAATCCTGTTTCCAACAAAGGCCTCAATGAAGTCCAAAAAAGCACTTGCAGGCTTTACAAACAGAGTGTTTCCAAACTGCTCTAAGAAAAGAAAGGTTAAACTCTGTGAGTTGAACGCACACATCACAAAGTATTTGTTGAGAGTGATTCTGTGTCGTTTTTATACGAAGATATTTCCTTTTCTGCCATAGGCCTAGAAGCGCTTGAAATCTGCACTTGCAAATTCCAAAAACAGAGTGTTTCAAATCTGCTCTCTCTAAAGGAAGGTTCAAATCTGTGTGTTGAATACAAACAACACAAAGAAGTTACTGAGAATTCTTCTGTCTAGCGTTGTATGAAGAAATCCCGTTTCCAACGAAGGCCTCAAAGAGGTCCAAATATCCACTTGCAGACTTTACAAATAGAGTGTTTCCAAACTGCTCTATGAAAAGAAATGTTAAACTCTGTGAGTTGAAGGCACACATCACAAACTAGTTTCTACGAATGACTCTGTGTACTTTTAATATGAAGATATTTCCATGTCTAAGATTGGCGTCAAATCGCTTGAAATCTCCACTTGCAAATTCCACAAAAAGTGTTTTTCAAAACTGCTCTGAATAAAGGAAGGTTCCACTCTGTGAGTTGAATACACACAACACAAAGGTTTTACTGAGAATTCTTCTGTCTAGCAGTAAATGAGAAATCCCGCTTCCAACGAAGGCCTCAAAGGGGTCTAACTAATCACTTGCAGACTTTACAGACAGAGTCTTTCCAAACTGCTCTATGAAGAGAAAGGTGAAACTCTGTGAACTGAACGCACAGATGACAAAGCAGTTTCTGAGAATGATTCTGTGTAGTTTTTACACGAAGATATTTCCATTTCAAAGATTAGCCTCAAATCGCTTGAAATCTCCACTTGCAAACTCCACAGAAAGAATTTTCCAAAACTGCTCTGTCTAAAGGAAGGTTCAACTCTGTGACTTGAATACACACAACACAAACAAGTGACTGAGAATTCTTCTGTCTAGCATTATATGAAGAAATCCCGTTTCCAACGAAGGCCTCAATGAAGTCCAAAAAAGCACTTGCAGGCTTTACAAACAGAGTGTTTCCAAACTGCTCTATGAAAAGAAAGGTTAAACTCTGTGAGTTGAACGCACACATCACAAAGTAGTTGTTGAGAATGATTTTGTCTAGTTTTAATACGAAGATATATCCTTTTCTATCACTGTCTTCGAAGCGTTTGAAATCTGCACTAGCAAATTACACAAACAGAGTGTTTCCACTCTGCTCTCTCTCAAGAAAGGTTCAACTCTGTGAGTGGAATACACACAACACAAAGAAGTTACTGAGAATTCTTCTGTCTGGCGTTGTATGAAGAAATCCCGTTTCCAACGAAGGCCTCAAAGAGGTCCAAATATCCACTTGCAGACTTTACAAATAGAGTGTTTCCAAACTGCTCTATGAAAAGAAAGGTTAAACTCTGTGAGTTGAAGGCACACATCACAAACTAGTTTCTACGAATGACTCTGTGTACTTTTAATACGAAGATGTTTCCATGTCTAAGATTGGCGTGAATTCGCTTGAAATCTCCACTTGCAAATTCCACCAAAAGAGTGTTTCAAAACTGCTCTGAATAAAGGAAGGTTCCACTCTGTGAGTTGAATACACACAACACAAAGGATTTACTGAGAATTCTTCTGTCTAGCAGTAAATGAAAAAATCCCGCTTCCAACGAAGTCCTCAAAGGGGTCCAAGTAATCACTTGCAGACTTTACAGACAGAGTCTTTCCAAACTGCTCTATGAAAAGAAAGGTGGAACTCTGTGAGCTGAACGCACACATAACAAAGCAGTTTCTGAGAATGATTCTGTGTAGTTTTTACACGAAGCTATTTCCATTTCAAAGATTAGCCTCAAATCGCTTGAAATCTCCACTTGCAAATTCCACAGAAAGAGTTTTTCAAAACTGCTCTGTGTAAAGGAAGGTTCAACTCTGTGACTTGAATACACACAACACAAAGAAGTGACTGAGAATTCTTCTGTCTAGCATTACATGAAGAAATCCCGTTTCCAACGAAGGCCTCAAAGAAGTCCAAATAAGCACCTGCAGACTTTACAAACAGAGTGTTTCCAAACTGCTCTATGAAAAGAAAGGTTAAACTCTGTGAGCTGAACGCACACATCACAAAGTAGTTGTTGAGAATGATTCTGTGTAGTTTTTATACGAAGATATTTCCTTTTCTGCCATAGGCCTAGAAGCGCTTGCAATCTGCACTTGCAAATTCCAAAAACAGAGTGTTTCAAATCTGCTCTCTCCAAAGGAAGGTTCAAATCTGTGAGTTGAATACAAACAACACAAAGAAGTTACTGAGAATTCTTCTGTCTAGCATTATAAGAGGAAATCCCGTTTCCAACGAAGGGCTCATAGAGGGACAATTATCCAGCTGCAGACTTACAAAGAGTGTATTTCCAAACTGCTCGATTAAAGAAAGGTTAAACTCTGTGAGTTGAACACACACATCACAAAGTGTTTTCTGAGAATGATTTTGTCTAGTTTTAATACGAAGATATATCCTTTTCTATCACTGTCTTCGAAGCGTTTGAAATCTGCACTAGCAAATTCCACAGAAAGAGTGTTTCAACTCTGCTCTCTCTCAAGAAAGGTTCAACTCTGTGAGTTGAATACACACAACACAAAGAAGTTACTGAGAATTCTTCTGTCTAGCGTTACATGAAGAAATCCCGTTTCCAACGAAGGCCTCAAAGAGGTCCAAATATCCACTTGCAGACTTTACAAATAGAGTGTTTCCAAACTGCTCTATGAAAAGAAAGGTTAGACTCCGTGAGTTGAAGGCACACATCACAAACTAGTTTCTGCGAATGACTCTGTGTACTTTTAATACGAAGATGTTTCCATGTCTAAGATTGGCGTGAATTCTCTTGAAATCTCCACCTGCAAATTCCACAAAAAGAGTGTTTCAAAAGTGCTCTGAATAAAGGAAGGTTCCACTCTGTGAGTTGAATACACACAACACAAAGGATTTACTGAGAATTCTTCTGTCTAGCAGTAAATGAAAAAATCCCGCTTCCAACGAAGTCCTCAAAGGGGTCCAAGTAATCACTTGCAGACTTTACAGACAGAGTCTTTCCAAACTGCTCTATGAAAAGAAAGGTGGAACTCTGTGAGCTGAACGCACACATAACAAAGCAGTTTCTGAGAATGATTCTGTGTAGTTTTTACACGAAGATATTTCCATTTCAAAGATTAGCCTCAAATCGCTTGAAATCTCCACTTGCAAATTCCACAGAAAGAGTTTTTCAAAACTGCTCTGTGTAAAGGAAGGTTCAACTCTGTGACTTGAATACACACAACACAAAGAAGTGACTGAGGAATTCTTCTGTCTAGCATTATATGAAGAAATCCCGTTTCCAACGAAGGCCTCAATGAAGTCCAAAAAAGCACTTGCAGGCTTTACAAACAGAGTGTTTCCAAACTGCTCTATGAAAAGAAAGGTTAAACTCTGTGAGTTGAACGCACACATCACAAAGAAGTTGTTGAGAATGATTTTGTCTAGTTTTAATACGAAGATATATCCTTTTCTATCACTGTCTTTGAAGCGTTTGAAATCTGCACTAGCAAATTCCACAAACAGAGTGTTTCAACTCTGCTCTCTCTCAAGAAAGGTTCAACTCTGTGAGTGGAATACACACAACACAAAGAAGTTACTGAGAATTCTTCTGTCTAGCGTTATATGAAGAAATCCCGTTTCCAACGAAGGCCTCAAAGAGGTCCAAATATCCACTTGCAGACTTACAAATAGAGTGTTTCCAAACTGCTCTATGAAAAGAAAGGTTAAACTCCGTGAGTTGAAGGCACACATCACAAACTAGTTTCTGCGAATGACTCTGTGTACTTTTAATACGAAGATGTTTCCATGTCTAAGATGGGCGTGAATTCGCTTGAAATCTCCACTTGCAAATTCCACAAAAAGAGTGTTTCAAAACTGCTCTGAATAAAGGAAGGTTCCACTCTGTGAGTTGAATACACACAACACAAAGGATTTACTGAGAATTCTTCTGTCTAGCAGTAAATGAAAAAATCCCGCTTCCAACGAAGTCCTCAAAGGGGTCCAAGTAATCACTTGCAGACTTTACAGACAGAGTCTTTCCAAACTGCTCTATGAAAAGAAAGGTGGAACTCTGTGAGCTGAACGCACACATAACAAAGCAGTTTCTGAGAATGATTCTGTGTAGTTTTTACACGAAGATATTTCCATTTCAAAGATTAGCCTCAAATCGCTTGAAATCTCCAGTTGCAAATTCCACAGAAAGAGTTTTTCAAAACTGCTCTGTGTAAAGGAAGGGTCAACTCTGTGACTTGAATACACACAACACAAAGAAATGACTGAGAATTCTTCTGTCTAGCATTATATGAAGAAATCCCGTTTCCAACGAAGGCCTCAAAGAAGTCCAAATAAGCACCTGCAGACTTTACAAACAGAGTGTTTCCAAACTGCTCTATGAAAACAAAGGTTAAACCCTGTGAGTTGAACGCGCACATCACAAAGTAGTTTTTGAGAATGATTTTGTCTAGTTTTAATACGAAGATATATCCTTTTCTATCACTGTCTTCGAAGCGTTGGAAATCTGCACTAGCAAATTCCGCAAGAAGAGTGTTTCAACTCTGCTCTCTCTAAAGAAAGGTTCAACTCGGTGAGTTGAATACACACAACACAAAGAAGTTACTGAGAATTCTTCTGTCTAGCGTTATATGAAGAAATCCCGTTTCCAACGAAGGCCTCAAAGAGGTCCAAATATCCACTTGCAGACTTTACAAATAGAGTGTTTCCAAACTGCTCTATGAAAAGAAAGGTTAAACTCTGTGAGTTGAAGGCACACATCACAAACTAGTTTCTACGAATGAATCTGTGTACTTTTAATATGAAGATATTTCCATGTCTAAGATTGGCGTCAAATCGCTTGAAATCTCCACTTGCAAATTCCACAAAAAGTGTTTTTCAAAACTGCTCTGAATAAAGGAAGGTTCCACTCTGTGAGTTGAATACACACAACACAAAGGATTTACTGAGAATTCTTCTGTCTAGCAGTAAATGAGAAATCCCGCTTCCAACGAAGGCCTCAAAGGGGTCTAACTAATCACTTGCAGACTTTACAGACAGAGTCTTTCCAAACTGCTCTATGAAGAGAAAGGTGAAACTCTGTGAACTGAACGCACAGATGACAAAGCAGTTTCTGAGAATGATTCTGTGGAGTTTTTACACGAAGATATTTCCATTTCAAAGATTAGCCTCAAATCGCTTGAAATCTCCACTTGCAAATTACACAGAAAGAATTTTTCAAAATTGCTCTGTCTAAAGGAAGGTTCAACTCTGTGACTTGAATACACACAACACAAAGAAGTGACTGAGAATTCTTCTGTCTAGCATTACATGAAGAAATCCCGTTTCCAACGAAGGCCTCAATGAAGTCCAAAAAAGCACTTGCAGGCTTTACAAACAGAGTGTTTCCAAACTGCTCTATGAAAAGAAAGGTTAAACTCTGTGAGTTGAACGCACACATCACAAAGTAGTTGTTGAGAATGATTCTGTGTAGTTTTTATACGAAGATATTTCCTTTTCTGCCATAGGCCTAGAATCGCTTGAAATCTGCAGTTGCAAATTCCAAAAACAGAGTGTTTCAACTCTGCTCTCTCTAAAGAAAGGTTCAACTCTGTGAGTTGAATACACACAACACAAAGAAGTTACTGAGAATTCTTCTGTCTAGCGTTGTATGAAGAAATCCCGTTTCCAACGAAGGCCTCAAAGAGGTCCAAATATCCACTTGCAGACTTTACAAATAGAGTGTTTCCAAACTGCTCTATGAAAAGAAAGGTTAAACTCTGTGAGTTGAAGGCACACATCACAAACTAGTTTCTACGAATGACTCTGTGTACTTTTAATATGAAGATATTTCCATGTCTAAGATTGGCGTCAAATCGCTTGAAATCTCCACTTGCAAATTCCACAAAAAGTGTTTTTCAAAACTGCTCTGAATAAAGGAAGGTTCCACTCTGTGAGTTGAATACACACAACACAAAGGATTTACTGAGAATTCTTCTGTCTAGCAGTAAATGAGAAATCCCTCTTCCAACGAAGGCCTCAAAGGGGTCTAACTAATCACTTGCAGACATTACAGACAGAGTCTTTCCAAACTGCTCTATGAAGAGAAAGGTGAAACTCTGTGAACTGAACGCACAGATGACAAAGCAGTTTCTGAGAATGATTCTGTGTAGTTTTTACACGAAGATATTTCCATTTCAAAGATTAGCCTCAAATCGCTTGAAATCTCCACTTGCAAATTCCACAGAAAGAATTTTTCAAAACTGCTCTGTCTAAAGGAAGGTTCAACTCTGTGACTTGAATACACACAACACAAAGAAGTGACTGAGAATTTTTCTGTCTAGCATTATATGAAGAAATCCCGTTTCCAACGAAGGCCTCAATGAAGTCCAAAAAAGCACTTGCAGGCTTTACCAACAGAGTGTTTCCAAACTGCTCTATGAAAAGAAAGGTTAAACTCTGTGAGTTGAACTGCACACATCACAAAGTAGTTGTTGAGAATGATTCTGTGTAGTTTTTATACGAAGATATTTCCTTTTCTGCCATAGGCCTAGAAGCGCTTGAAATCTGCACTTGCAAATTCCAAAAACAGAGTGTTTCAAATCTGCTCTCTCTAAAGGAAGGTTCAAATCTGTGTGTTGAATACAAACAACACAAAGAAGTTACTGAGAATTCTTCTGTCTAGCATTATATGAGGAAATCCCGTTTCCAACGAAGGGCTCAAAGAGGGACAAATATCCACCTGCAGACTTACAAAGAGTGTATTTCCAAACTGCTCGATTAAAGAAAGGTTAAACTCTGTGAGTTGAACACACACATCACAAAGAGTTTTCTGAGAATGATTTTGTCTAGTTTTAATACGAAGATATATCCTTTTCTATCACTGTCTTCGAAGCGTTTGAAATCTGCACTGGCAAATTCCACAAACAGAGTGTTTCAACTCTGCTCTCTCTCAAGAAAGGTTCAACTCTGTGAGTGGAATACACACAACACAAAGAAGTTACTGAGAATTCTTCTGTCTAGCGTTATATGAAGAAATCCCGTTTCCAACGAAGGCCTCAAAGAGGTCCAAATATCCACTTGCAGACTTTACAAATAGAGTGTTTCCAAACTGCTCTATGAAAAGAAAGGTTAAACTCTGTGAGTTGAAGGCACACATCACAAACTAGTTTCTGCGAATGACTCTGTGTACTTTTAATATGAAGATATTTCCATGTCTAAGATTGACGTCAAATCGCTTGAAATCTCCACTTGCAAATTCCACAAAAAGTGTTTTTCAAAACTGCTCTGAATAAAGGAAGGTTCCACTCTGTGAGTTGAATACACACAACACAAAGGATTTACTGAGAATTCTTCTGTCTAGCAGTAAATGAGAAATCCCGCTTCCAACGAAGGCCTCAAAGGGGTCTAACTAATCACTTGCAGACTTTACAGACAGAGTCTTTCCAAACTGCTCTATGAAGAGAAAGGTGAAACTCTGTGAACTGAACGCACAGATGACAAAGCAGTTTCTGAGAATGATTCTGTGTAGTTTTTACACGAAGATATTTCCATTTCAAAGATTAGCCTCAAATCGCTTGAAATCTCCACTTGCAAACTCCACAGAAAGAATTTTTCAAAACTGCTCTGTCTAAAGGAAGGTTCAACTCTGACTTGAATACACACAACACAAAGAAGTGACTGAGAATTCTTCTGTCTAGCATTATATGAAGAAATCCCGTTTCCAAGGAAGGCCTCAAAGAAGTCCAAATAAGCACCTGCAGACTTTACAAACAGAGTGTTTCCAAACTGCTCTATGAAAAGAAAGGTTAAACTCTGTGAGTTGAACGCACACATCACAAACTAGTTTCTGCGAATGACTCTGTGTACTTTTAATACGAAGATGTTTCCATGTCTAAGATTGGCGTGAATTCGCTTGAAATCTCCACTTGCAAATTCCACAAAAAGAGTGTTTCAAAACTGCTCTGAATAAAGGAAGGTTCCACTCTGTGAGTTGAATACACACAACACAAAGGATTTACTGAGAATTCTTCTGTCTAGCAGTAAATGAAAAAATCCCGCTTCCAACGAAGTCCTCAAAGGGGTCCAAGTAATCACTTGCAGACTTTACAGACAGAGTCTTTCCAAACTGCTCTATGAAAAGAAAGGTGGAACTCTGTGAGCTGAACGCACACATAACAAAGCAGTTTCTGAGAATGATTCTGTGTAGTTTTTACACGAAGATATTTCCATTTCAAAGATTAGCCTCAAATCGCTTGAAATCTCCACTTGCAAATTCCACAGAAAGAGTTTTTCAAAACTGCTCTGTGTAAAGGAAGGTTCAACTCTGTGACTTGAATACACACAACACAAAGAAGTGACTGAGAATTCTTCTGTCTAGCATTATATGAAGAAATCCCGTTTCCAACGAAGGCCTCAAAGAAGTCCAAATAAGCACCTGCAGACTTTACAAACAGAGTGTTTCCAAACTGCTCTATGAAAAGAAAGGTTAAACTCTGTGAGTTGAACGCACCACATCAGAAAGTAGTTGTTGAGAATGATTCTGTGTAGTTTTTATACGAAGATATTTCCTTTTCTGCCATAGGCCTAGAAGCGCTTGTAATCTGCACTTGCAAATTCCAAAAACAGAGTGTTTCAAATCTGCTCTCTCTAAAGGAAGGTTCAAATCTGTGAGTTGAATACAAACAACACAAAGAAGTTACTGAGAATTCTTCTGTCTAGCATTATAAGAGGAAATCCTGTTTCCAACGAAGGGCTCATAGAGGGACAATTATCCAGCTGCAGACTTACAAAGAGTGTATTTCCAAACTGCTCGATTAAAGAAAGGTTAAACTCTGTGAGTTGAACACACACATCACAAAGTGTTTTCTGAGAATGATTTTGTCTAGTTTTAATACGAAGATATATCCTTTTCTATCACTGTCTTCGAAGCGTTTGAAATCTGCACTAGCAAATTCCACAAACAGAGTGTTTCAACTCTGCTCTCTCTCAAGAAAGGTTCAACTCTGTGAGTGGAATACACACAACACAAAGAAGTTACTGAGAATTCTTCTGTCTAGCGTTATATGAAGAAATCCCGTTTCCAACGAAGGCCTCAAAGAGGTCCAAATATCCACTTGCAGACTTTACAAATAGAGTGTTTCCAAACTGCTCTATGAAAAGAAAGGTTAAACTCTGTGAGTTGAAGGCACACATCACAAACAAGTTTCTGCGAATGACTCTGTGTACTTTTAATACGAAGATGTTTCCATGTCTAAGATGGGCGTGAATTCGCTTGAAATCTCCACTTGCAAATTCCACAAAAAGAGTGTTTCAAAACTGCTCTGAATAAAGGAAGGTTCCACTCTGTGAGTTGAATACACACAACACAAAGGATTTACTGAGAATTCTTCTGTCTGGCAGTAAATGAAAAAATCCCGCTTCCAACGAAGTCCTCAAAGGGGTCCAAGTAATCACTTGCAGACTTTACAGACAGAGTCTTTCCAAACTGCTCTATGAAAAGAAAGGTGGAACTCTGTGAGCTGAACGCACACATAACAAAGCAGTTTCTGACAATGATTCTGTGTAGTTTTTACACGAAGATATTTCCATTTCAAAGATTAGCCTCAAATCGCTTGAAATCTCCACTTGCAAATTCCACAGAAAGAGTTTTTCAAAACTGCTCTGTGTAAAGGAAGGTTCAACTCTGTGACTTGAATACACACAACACAAAGAAGTGACTGAGAATTCTTCTGTCTAGCATTATATGAGAAATCCCGTTTCCAACGAAGGCCTCAAAGAAGTCCAAATAAGCACCTGCAGACTTTACAAACAGAGTGTTTCCAAACTGCTCTATGAAAAGAAAGGTTAAACTCTGTGAGGTGAACGCACACATCACAAAGTAGTTGTTGAGAATGATTCTGTGTAGTTTTTATACGAAGATATTTAATTTTCCGCCATAGGCCTAGAAGCGCTTGAAATCTGCACTTGCAAATTCCAAAAACAGAGTGTTTCAAATCTGCTCTCTCCAAAGGAAGGTTCAAATCTGTGAGTTGAATACAAACAACACAAAGAAGTTACTGAGAATTCTTCTGTCTAGCATTATAAGAGGAAATCCCGTTTCCAACGAAGGGCTCATAGAGGGAAAATTATCCAGCTGCAGACTTACAAAGAGTGTATTTCCAAACTGCTCGATTAAAGAAAGGTTAAACTCTGTGAGTTGAACACACACATCACAAAGTGTTTTCTGAGAATGATTTTGTCTAGTTTTAATACGAAGATATATCCTTTTCTATCACTGTCTTCGAAGCGTTTGAAATCTGCACTAGCAAATTCCACAAACAGAGTGTTTCAACTCTGCTCTCTCTCAAGAAAGGTTCAACTCTGTGAGTGGAATACACACAACACAAAGAAGTTACTGAGAATTCTTCTGTCTAGCGTTATATGAAGAAATCCCGTTTCCAACGAAGGCCTCAAAGAGGTCCAAATATCCACTTGCAGACTTTACAAATAGACTGTTTCCAAACTGCTCTATGAAAAGAAAGCTTAAACTCTGTGAGTTGAAGGCACACATCACAAACTAGTTTCTGCGAATGACTCTGTGTACTTTTAATACGAAGATGTTTCCATGTCTAAGATTGGCGTGAATTCGCTTGAAATCTCCACTTGCAAATTCCACAAAAAGAGTGTTTCAAAACTGCTCTGAATAAAGGAAGGTTCCACTCTGTGAGTTGAATACACACAACACAAAGGATTTACTGAGAATTCTTGCGTGCTGGGAGAACCACTGCTCTCTTCAAAGCTGTCAGACAGGGACACTTAAGTCTGCAGAGGTTACTGCTGTCTTTTTGTTTGTCTGTGCCAGCCCCCAGAGGTGGAGCCTACAGAGGCAGGCAGGCCTCCTTGAGCTGTGGTGGGCTCCACCCAGTTCGAGCTTCCCAGCTGCTTTGTTTACCTAAGCAAGCCTGGGCAATGGCGGGCGCCCCTCCCCCAGCCTCGTTGCCGCCTTGCAGTTTGATCTCAGACTGCTGTGCTAGCAATCAGCGAGATTCCGTGGGCGTAGGACCCTCTGAGCCAGGTGTGGGATATAGTCTCGTGGTGCGCCGTTTCTTAAGCCGGTCTGAAAAGCGCAATATTCGGGTGGGAGTGACCCGATTTTCCACGTGCGTCCGTCAACCCTTTCTTTGACTCGGAAAGGGAACTCCCTGACCCCTTGCGCTTCCCAGGTGAGGCAATGCCTCGCTCTGCTTCGGCTCGCGCACGGTGCGCACACACACTGGCCTGAGCCCACTGTCTGGCACTCCCTAGTGAGATGAACCCGGTACCTCAGATGGAAATGCAGAAATCACCCGTCTTCTGCGTCGCTCACGCTGGGAGCTGTAGACCGGAGCTGTTCCTATTCGGCCATCTTGGCTCCTCCTCCTGAACCTTTCTTTGATAGTACAGCTTTGAAACACTCTTTTTGTAGAAACTGCAAGTGGATATTTGGTCCTCTATGAGGATTTCGTTGGAAACGGGATAAACCGCACAGAACTAAACAGA